>NW_003315962.1:0-300000 GCF_000001405.40 Homo sapiens
GTTTACCCTTAAAGGTATTGTGTGCGTGTCTTTTCTTCTCCCCTCATGTGTTTCCTGCACAGAACATATTTCTCAAAGGCTTCATTTGTTCCTTTTTATTCATTTTTGTTTAATCTTGTCTGCATGCCTTATTTTGGCAAGGTGGTCTTCAAACTCTGATGTTCTTTCTTCTGCTTGGTCAATGCAGCTACAAATACTTTTGTATGCTTCAGGAGGTTCTCATGCTGTGTGTTTTAGCTCCATCAGATCATTTATGTTCCTGTCTAAACCAGTTATTCTAGTTAGCAGTTCCTCTAACCTTTTATCAAGGTTCTTAGCTTCTTTCAATTGGTTTAGAACATGTTCCTTTAGCTCAGCAGAGTTTATTACCCATCTTCTGAAGCCTACTTTTGTCAATTCATCCATCTCATCCTCTGTCCAGTTCTGCACCCTTGCTGAAGAGACATTTTGATAACTTGGAGGAAAAGCCGCACTCTGGCCTTTCAGAGTTCTTTTGTTGATTCTTTCTCATCTTCATGAACTTGTCTAGTTTTGATCTTTGAGGCTGTTGACAACTGAATGGTTGTTTCTGTTTTGTTTTGTTTTGTTTTGAGACAGAGTCTCACTCTGTCACCCAGGCTGGAGGGCAGTGGCACAATCTCGGCTCAATGCAACCTTCGCATCCCAGGTTCAAGTGATTCTCGTGTCTCAGATTCCCGAGTAGCTGGGATTACAGGCATGCAACACAACGCCTGGCTAATTTTTGTATTTTTTAGTAGAGATGGGGTTTTGCCATGTTGGCCAGGCTAGTTTTGAACTCCTGACCTCAAGTGATCTGCCTGTCTCAGCCTCCCAAAGTACTGAGATTACTGGTGTGAGCCACCATGCCCGGCCTTGGATGGGGTTTTTGTCGGTACTTTTTTGTTGTTGATGTTGTTGTTTTCTGTTTGTTTGTTTTTCTTTCAGTGGTCAGGTCCCTCTTCTGTAGGGCTGCTGCAGTTTGCTGGGGGTTCACTTCAGGCTCTATTCATCTGGTTCACTCCTGTTCCTGGAGATGTCAATCAAGGAGGTTGGAGAATAGCAAAGAAGAGTGTCCGCTCCTTCCTCTGGGATCTCTGACCTCAAGAGGCACCAACCTGATGCCAGTAGGATCGCTCCTGTATAGGGTGTCTGACAACCCCTGTTGAAGGGTCTCACCCAGTTGGGTGGCATGGAGAGGAGAACCCATTTAATGAAGCACTTTGTTCCTTGGTGGAGGGGAGTGTTTTGCTGGGGGGAAACCCACTCATGTGGGCTGCCCACATTTTTCAGAACTAGCAGGAGGAAAGGCTAAGTCTGCTGGTCCACAGAGACTGCAACTGTAGCAGGACGAGCCACAGACAAAACTCCTCAGACACTGAGTTAAAGAAGGAAGTGGTTTATTCGACCGGGAGCATCTGGCAAGACTCCTGTCTCAAGAGCCGAGCTCCCCGAGTGAGCAATTCCTGTCCCTTTTAAGGGCTCACAACTCTAAGGGGGTCCACGTGAGAGGGTTGTGATGGATTGAGCAAGCAGGGGGTACGTGACAGGTGCTGCATGCACCGGTGGTCAGAGTGAAACAGAACAGACCGGGAAGTTTCACAATGTCTTTTCTATACAATATCTGGAATCTATAGATAACATAACCGGTTAGGTCAGGGGTTGATCTTTAACTACCAGGCTTAGGTCAGGCAGGCTCAGGCCTGGTTTCAGGTCTGGTTCCCTGGTTTTGTGTCTGGTTTTGTTTCGCTTTTCTTTTCTTTTCTTTTCTGAGTACAAAACAATATAAAACAATATGAGAGGGTCTGTCTCTCTTCTCTCACAGCCACCCCTTCCCCTAGGGGCTCAGGTCCAGGGACATCAGAATTCTGTCCCTGAGTTCCTGACTGGAGCTGTTGGAGTTCCTGCAGGGAGGCCCAGCCCAGTGTGGAGGGATGAGTCAGGGTCAGGCCTGAAGAGACACTTTGGCCGCTGTCTGCCACAGCCAGTGTGTTGGGCTGTGGGGGACACCTCTTGAGACCAAGCTGTCCAACCTCCCTGGCTCTAGCAGGGGAAAAATGCAGCCAGGAGCTCTAGAAATGGCTGCTGCCCTTCCCGTGCCGAGGGAGCTTAGCCTATTAGGCAACTGGGAGTCTCAGTGCTGGCTGCTGTCCCTCCTCCAAGGAGCTCAAAATGCTGAGACTGCAGGCAGCCACAGCCATGGTGCTGGTCGCCCCTCCCTCGGGACCTCAGCAGGCTTAAGCAGACTCTAGCTGAGAGGCTGTTAATCCGTTCAACTCCGGGGTTGGAATCTGAGGCTCCAGTGCCGTGGGTTCACGAGCGGAATCTTCTGATCTGTGGATTGCACAGTTTCATGGAAAAAGCACGGTTTCCTAGGCTGGGTAGCCTGCTCAGTCACCGCCTCCCTTGGCTGGGAGATGGCTGTGGCAGGACTCAGGCCTGCCGCACTCAGCTCCAAAATCTGCTCCCGGAGTTTTTCTCGCCCAGCTCGGCCTCTGTTCCCTTCAGCCATAACATGTTTCTCTTCCCTGCGCAGTGACTGCGCCCTGGCCTGGAGCCCTCTCTGGGCAGCTCTGCACCCGCAGCGCGGCGTCTCTCCCAGATTGTGCAGGGACCAGGGCAGGGTAGGCAGGGGAGATTCCTGACTGGGCTGCGGGTTCACGAATGGAAAGAGCTTTGGCCCGTGGGGTTCACAGTTTTTCTTTTCTCCTATTAAAAATGTATGGGGCCAGGTGCTGTCGCTCACGCCTGTAATCCCAGCACTTCGGGAGGCCGAGGCGGGCGGATCACTTGTCAGGAGTTGAAGACCAGCCTAGCCAAAATGGGGAAACCCCATCATTATTAAAAATACAAAAATTAGCTGGATGTGATGGTGAATGCCTGTAGTCCCAGCTACTCGGGGGTCAGAGGAGAGAGAATCGCTTGAACCCGGGAGGCAGAGGTGGCAGTGAGGTGAGATCGCGCCACTGCACTCCAGTCTGGGCGACAGAGCAAGACTCTGTCAAAAAAAAAAAAAAAAAAAAAGGAAGTCACCGCAAAAATAACAAGTAATTTAAAGAGTGATTCAAGAATTGTAGAGCACCCAGCTACAGTTTGTAGTTTGTGGTCCATGGGAGAGGCTTGAAGAAAAGACATTTATAAGGTGCATGATGAAGAACACTAAATTCAATAATTGGTTAGATATAGTTAGGTAGTTTCTTAATTTGTACAATCAAGGTGGAAATTTCCTGATTATGTAATCAGAGCTTAATTGGCATTTTATAGTTGTTTAAGCTTGAATTGTGTTTCCCCTAATGTAGCGATTTACCAAAAAATGCACTCGAGTTTATATTTTTTTCTTAGAAGTAGCAATCCAGGGAATAGAGCCTCTTCAGTCTCTCAGACTCCTAAAGTCTAATTGCCTGCCACTTAATTATTTTCACACCCCACAGGGGACTGATTTTCTCTGGCATTTTTCACATGTGTCCCAAGTGGGGCCTCAAGTGTACCCCATGTTCCTCAATTAATCATTTTTAACACTATTAAATAAATTTGTTTTCTGTTTGTAAATATCTCCCCTGAGAAGAAAGAAAAGAATAATCCCCTGACACTGTATTGTAAAAATATTTGTGCCTCTTTTTCTTCTATTTTTCCAGAGAACTTACCGGAATGTTTTTAGGTCAAGATTACCCTTCGGAAACTTTATAGGGTGATGTGTCCTCAGCTATCCTTCAGTTTTTTTTCTGGGCCTGGGTTTTAGTACTTTCTGGGGATAAACCAAGATACCCACCATGGCTATGTCTGCTGGAGTGTCTAGTGACTATTAGCTCTTGGGTCATTTTCTCCCATAGGACCACGTGAAGTATGGAGTGTAGCCTCTCAAGGGAGCAGGTGGCAGCCCTGGGGCTGAAAGGCATCTCCTGGTGCACTTTTTTTTTTTTTTTTTTTTTTTTGAAAAACTAACTCCTTGAGACATGAAGATTGTCTTCAACCAACCTAGCTTCCATTTCTTGGAGACACATTGCTGGGCAGCCAATCAGATGCTGATATTGAGGGGAAAACAGATAATTTCTGCCCCCTGGATTCTCTTGAGTGGGGCAGAAAAATAGTGACAAAAAATAGTGAAAAATTTGGAAAAAAAAAAAAAAAAACTCCAACAGACAAAAAAAACTGACCCCAGTGTGATGGCATAAAAACTTATGAAGTAAAATGTACCTGGGGCACTCACTGGGGCATAGCGCACTATCTCCTGGGAGGGTGGTTATTGAGCATGTAAGTGAACAGGATGGGATAGGTAATTGGATGTGTACCTTGAAAAGATTTGTTCACTTATTTTGACCTCAGGTATTTATTTATTTATTTATTTATTTATTTATTTATTTATTTATGAGACAGTCTCCCTCTGTTGCACAGGCTGTAATTCAATGGCTCGATCTCAGATCACTGCAACCTCCACCTCCTGGGTTCAAGTGATTCTCATGCCTCGGCCTCCCAAGTAGCTAGGTCTATAGGTGTGCAACACTGCGCCTTGCTAGTTTTTGTATTTTTAGTAGAGATGGACCAGGCTGATCCCAAACTTATGGTCTTAAGTGATCCACCTGCCTCGGCCACCCAAAGTGCTGGGATTACAGGCATTAGCCACTGTACCCAGCTGCATCGGTTTTTTTTACTGTAATTTGCATTTTATTCATAGGGCTTAAAAGGTAAGAAAATATTTACAAAGGACAGAAAAGAGATGAGTTTCAAAAAATTGGTATTTAATAATATATTCCATTTATTAATAATTCTCATTTACCTTTTTCTTTCCCAGAGTAAGCTTAGGAATTTTTTCAGATGTGTTTTTTATGGCTGAGTTATTTCAAACAAAATTCCAAGCCTTAGCTTTAAGAATGCTAGCTACCAGCTAAGCGCGGTGTCTCATGCCTGTAATCCCAGCACTTTGGGAGGATGAGGCAAGCATATCACGAGGCCGGCAGTTCAAGACCAGCCTGTCCAAGATGGTGAAACACCATCTCTACTAAAAATATGAAAATTAGCCAGGCATGGTGGTGGGCGCCTCTAATCCCAGCTACCCTGGAGCTTGAGGCAGATAATTGCTTGAACCTGGGAGGCAGGGGTTGCAGTGAGCCGAGATCACGCCACTGCACTCCAGCCTGGGTGACAGAGTGAGACTCCATCCCCATCTCAAAAAAAAAAAAAAAATTAGAGCAAATCTTTCTTTCATTTTGACTGTGGACAATGAATATATTTCCACAGGAAAATGTGGTAGATAATTTATGGATTACATAGATTCGTCAAAACACCAGTTCCTCTTTTTGCAGGGTAAATTTGTGACAGTGAATATCTTAGTTCTATATCATGTTGCCTTGATTTCTTAGTTTAATGCTAAATTATATATGATAAAACTTATGTACCTTCTACAAGTGTCCCCATATGACTAATTTTTTACAACACTATTTTTAATAGAAATAATAAAATAATACATGTATTTTCTGAAAGAAGTAGACATATTTGCTTTTCTTATGGAGATACAAAATGCAGGCACCTTAGCCATTTTCAGTGGTTCACACCTGCAATCCCAGCACTTTGGGAGGCCGAGGCAGGTTGATCACTTGAGGTCAGGGTTTCGAGACCAGCCTGCCCAACATGGCGAAACCCCGTCTCTACTAGAAATACAAAAATTAGCCGGGTGCTGTGGCACATGCCTGTAGTCCCAGCTACTTGGGAGGCTAAGGCAGGAGAATGGCTAGAACCTGGGAGGCAGAGGTTGCAGTGAGCTGAGATTGTGCCATTGCACTCCAGCCTGGGTGACAGAGCGAGACTCCATCTCAAAAAAAAAAAAAAAAAAGTAAGCACCTTAAAATTTCCTTCCCTTATGTAAACACTTAGAGTAATTTCACTGGATTTTTCAAGCAGTTAGTTTCAAAATCAAGTGAATAACTCTGACATGGAAATTAAAGCTTTAACCTAGTGGCTTGAATCTAAGGCTAATATTAAGCCTGCAACAGAAGGTTATTAGAGGCAGAGTTAGATTTTTTTTTTTTTTTTTTTTTGAGACAGAGTCTCACACTGTCGCCTCGGCTGGAGTGCAGTGCCAGGATCTCGGCTTACTGCAACCTCTGCCTCCTGGGTTCAAGAGATTATCCTGCCCCAGCCTTTTGAGTAGCTGGGATTACATGTGCCCGCCACCATACCTGGCTAATTTTTTAGTATTTTTAGTAGAGACAGGGTTTCACTATGTTGGCCAAGCTGGTCTCGAATGCCTGACCACGTGATCCACCCGCCTCAGCCTCCCAAACTGTTGGGATTACAGGCGTGAGCCACTGCGTCTGGCCAAAGGCCCAGTTACTTTTTTCTGGAAAGACTTCCCTGCAGATGTGTCAGCCTGCTCACCCCAGCCATTGAAGGAGCCGTTGTTCTGAGAGAAGCTACAGCGCCCTGGAAAGCTGGGGTCGCACAGGCAGATGCAGTTGAGGCTAAGATGAAGGGAAACTGGGAGGGTCTTACTGATCATGAAGTTGTTATTGTTTTGAGGCACTTTCCAGATTTTGTAAAATAAAAATGTTAGATTTATGTAAAAAAAAGAATTCCAAAAAATTATTGCAACAGGAGAAAGCAATAACCAACTATAAGATCTTTATGGCTTGCAAAAATGTAGGCATAAAAGGACTTTCTTCCCTAGGGAGGAGCAAACAAGTTTAGAAAGGAGGTGGGAGGGAAATGGCAAATGGAGGATGAAAAAGTCAGATTTTGGATCAGAGAATGTCTTACCCTGAAATCAGCATGTTCTTAGGAGGGATGTAAAATAAGGTTGTATGTTGACTCAGGCTGAGGGTAGCTCAAAGTTCAGGAGCCTGAGGGAGTGAGATAACCCTAAGTAAAGTTTGATTAAAAAATATTTTATTTTAAGCTGGGCACGGTGGTTGACACCTGTAATCCCAGCACTTTGGGAGGCCGAGGCAGGCGGATCACCTGAGGTCAGGAGTTTGAGACCAGCCTGGCCAACATGGTGAAACCCTGTGTCTACTAAAAATACAAAAATGAGTCAGGCATCCTGGTGGGCACCTGTAATCCCAGCTACTCGGGAGACTTGAGGCAGGAGAATTGCTTCAACCTGGGAGAAGGATGTTGCAGTGAGCCAAGACTGTGCCACTACACTCCAGTCTGAGCGACAGAACGAGACTCCATCTCAAAAAATATATATATATATTGACCAGTGAAGACAAATTCAATTGATATTCTTAATGAGAAAAAGGAGAAACTGTGCAGAGTGTGTGTCTGGCTGTGTGATATGTAAGAAAAAGTCATAACAGGAAGAGTGTTTATTTCCATAAACTGTTCTTGGAGTACACAACAGATGGAGAATTTTATTAATCACAAATATTTTCCAAGATTATCTATGTGTTTCATCTTTCCCCATCTCTTTGTTCTACACATTTCTTCCATTTGGCTTTTCCTGGGCTGCCTCTTATATATGAAACTGGTAAACATTATTACAGTGTTTTTCTGAGTTCTGTGAGTAGCTTTACCAAATTATTGAACTTCAGGGAGGTTATGAAAGTACCCACTTTTTAAACAGTAGCTCAGAAGCATAAATGGGCCCATGGGGTTTGTGACTGGCATCTGCAGTAAGAACAATGTTGTGGGACTGAATCGCTGTCTGTGCTGACTTTGGGTAGTGTCAGAATTCAAACGTTTGACAATGAGTTGGTGTTGGAGAATTGTTTGATGTTCAGAAAACTCTACAGATTTGGTGCCAGAAAAAAGATATCATGGAGGCCTGGCCTGTAATAAAACTCTGGGTATTTGGGAATGGGAGGCTTTGCTCTCCTGTACACAGGCTGTCACACTGCCCATTGTCTTGTGATTCCTCCCAAGGTGACAGAAGACTGAAAACTTAGAGGAAAGAGCTCTGATGACAGACCCCCTTTTCTTGCAGCTACCACCACAGGATTCCCACCTACTCCCAAACACACACACTAGACGTGACATGTCCACACTCCTCCCAGGACTAGGCACCATCCTCAGAAACTTCACCATGGCATTTTTGATCAAAGTGTTTCTTGCCAAAAAGCCACAAGTGTCTGCAAGTCTCCTTGCATATCCCCATCCCTGAACAATGAATCTGCAGCAGCAACCTGTTTTTTCCACCAGCCTAGGGTTCTGGACCTCCTGTTCATAATCTCATCTGCCTGCATGCACACAGAAATGAATCAGAATACAGCCCCACCTGGGCCACTATCTGTAGCAAAAAATTATTCCTTTCACCTACATTACACTCTGTCCCACCCAGGGACATTTTTTTTCTTTTAGCTTTTATTTTTTGTTTGAGGTACACACGTGGGTTTGTTAAACAGCTAAAATTATGTCACAGGGGTTTGGTGTGCAGATTATTTTGTCACTGAGGTACTAAGCATAGCACCAAACACGTATATTTTCTGATCCTCTGAGTCCTCCCACCCTCCGCCCTTAACTAGGCTCCAGTGTCTTGTTTTTCTCCTCTTTGTATTCATGTGTTCTTATTACTTAGCTCTTACTTACAAATAGTAACATGAATTTGGTTTTCTGTTTCTGCAGTAGTTTTCTTTTTTTGTTGTTTTTTGTTTTGTTTTGTCTTGAGTAGGAGTTTTGCTCTTTTTGCCCAGGCTGGCGTGCAATGGTATGATCTCGGTTCACCGCAACCTTCGTTTTCTGGATTCAGGCTAGTCCATTGCCTCAGCCTCCCAAGTAGCTGGGATTACAGGCGGGCAACACCATGTGTGGCTAATTTTGTATTTTTAGTAGAGATGGGGTTTCTCCATGTTGATCAGGCTGGTCTCAAACTCCCAACCTCAGGTGATCCACCCGCCTTGGCCTCCCAAATTGCTGGGATTACAGGTGTGAGCCACAGTGCCCGGCCTCTGCATTAGTTTTCTAAGCATAATGGTCTCCAGCTTCATCAATGTTATTGCAAAGGACATGATCATTTTTTAAATGGCCACAGAGTATTCCATGATGCTTATGTACCATATTTTGTTTTTACTAAATCTTTTATTTTATTTTATTTTTGGAGACAGGCTTATTGCCCAGGCTAGAGTGCTATGGCATGATATTTGCTTACTTCAGTCTCAACCTCCCAGGCTCAAGCAATTCTGTAGCCCTCATCCTTCTAAGTAACTGGGACTACACGTGTGCGTTACCACACCTGGCCGATTTTTCATTTTGTTTTCCGTGGAGACAGGATTTTGCCATGTTGACCAGGCTGGTCTCAAACTTCTAAACTCAGGCAATCCAGCTGCCTCAGCCTCCCAAAGTGCTGGGATTACAAGCATGAGCCACCGCATCTGACCATACCATATTTTCTTTATCTTGTCTACCATTGATAGGCATTTAGGGCCTGTCCTTGTCTTTGCTATTGTGAATAGTTCTGCAGTGAACATGCATGTGGATGTGTCTTGATAATATAATAATTTATATTTCTTTGGATATATACCCAATTATGAGGTTCCTGGGTCAATTGATAATTCTGTTTTTAGTTATGTGAGGAATCACCACACTGCTTTTTATAGTTGTTGAACTAATTTACACTCCCACCAGCAGAGTATAAGCATTCCCTTTTCTCTGCAAATTTGCCAGCATCTGTTACTTTTTGACTTTTAAAAAATAGCCATCCTGATGGGTTTGTAGTGTTCTGACCAGTGTGATGTGGCATCTCATTGTGGTTTCTCTTTTAATTTCTCTAATGATTAGCGATGAGCATTTTTTTTCATTTGCTTGTTAGCCACATGTATGTCTTCTTTTGAACAGCATCTGTTCATATTTTTTCCCTCTTTTTAATGAGATTGTTTGGTTTTTTCTTGTAAACTTGTTTAAGTTCTTAAGAAATTTTGATTATTAGACCTTTGTCAGGCAAAGTTTGCAAATATTTTCTTTTATTCTCTAGGTTGTCTGTTTACTCTGTTGATAGTTTCTTTTGCTGTGAAGAAGCTCTTTAGTTTAAATAGGTCCCATTTGTCAATTTTTGCTTTTGTGGCAATTACTTTCGGTAGCTTCATCATGAAGTCTTTGCCAGTTTCTATATCTAGAATGGTATTTCCCAGGTTATCTTGCAGGGTTTATTATAATTTTAAGTTTTTCTTTTCAGTCTTTATCTTGAGTTGATTTTTTTATATGGTGTAATGAAGGGGTCCAGTTTCTGTCTTCTACATAGTGCTAGGTAGTTATTCCAGCATCATTTATTAAAGAGAGAATTTTTCCCACATTCTTCTTGTCAGTTTCGTCAAAAATCTGATGGGTGTAGGAGGGTGATATTATTTCTGGGCTCTCTATTCTGTTGCGTTGGTCTTGGGCACTCATGGATTTTTTATAACATCTTTCTCTCTTCTGCTTTTTCTCCCATAAACATTCTTTCAAGCGCATCTAGTGTGCAAAATTCAGATGTTCAAGAGTTCAAAAACTCTTTAAAAAGTTCCAAAAAATATTTTGCTATTCCCTCTTTTCTTAAGGGAATTAGATTATTTGTAGATGTTTTTCTCTGCTTTTTTGAAATACAGGTAAATCATATTAACAGCTGAATAAAGCTTTTGTCAGATAATCTGACTCCAGATTATCTTTCTCTAGTACTTCAGATTTATTGCTTTGTTTTTGCTTCTCGAAAATTTATTTTTTTTCATTTTTAGTCCTCTAAAGTAGACACAGATTTGTTTGGATAAGAGCTAATTTTAAGAGCACACAGAAACTTAACACAAAAATAGGAATAAATTTAGCAATACAGAATGATAAAGACTAAAAGACACTAAGTATCTTTGACAGAAACCTGATGATCCAAAGCAATTATGCAGTATTTGCAGGCTGAAGGACTTATACTGCGAAAGCAAGAACAGTTCAGTGTATAAACTAAACAGTGGAGTCTGTAGTTGTACCTTGCTTTCTATTGATTACTTCAGAACAATTAGCATAGTTATGTGTAGTGTTTGTAGACAACCTGCATTCATATACATTAAACAGTACTTTCTTTCTTTTGAGACAGAGTCTCACTGTGCCACCCAGGCTGGGGTGCAGTGGTGTGATCTCATTTCAGTGCAACCACTGCTTCCCAGGTTCAAGCAATTCTCCTGCCTTAGCCTCCCAAGTAGCTGGGATTACAGGTGCAAGCCACCATGCCAGGCTAAGTTTTTGCATTTTTAGTAGAGATGGGGTCTCACCATGTTAGCCAGCTTGATCTTGAACTCCTGACCGCAGGTGACCCACCCGCCTCACTCTTCCAAAATGTTGGAATTACAGGTGTGAGACATAAACAGCATTGTCTACAATCGTATGAAGATAAAGCTGAAATACTTACTTTGAATGAATCATTTAAATGGTTATTTTAGTATTTTTTTATACTTTTGAAATATAAAGTGTTTTAACTGAAATATATTTGTAATTTTTAAAAATGCTACATACATTATGACTAGTTCATTAAAATTATTCATACTTAGATATCAAATATCCAAAGAAAATTACTATGAAATTGTTACAGTAAGTAGATATTCGTCTGAAATGTTTATAACTTTATTCAATAGGGATAATTATAAGTAAACACAATTTAAGTATCTTTTATTTCACTAAATTTGTATGCTACTGTTACAGGGCAAATAAAGACAGGTGATATGGCCCCTGAGAAATTGCTAGAGTCTGTGGCACAGGAGGGCACCTGAGAACAGGAAAGGAGAAACTTATATTTTTATCTTCATGGAGCAGCTCATTTTTCCTGAATCTCTTCTGTTTTAAAGGACAGAAATGAGTGGACATTTTCTGTCTTTGTTTTTCTTCCAGTTGATGTTATGATAGCAGGTAAACATGTGGTACTGACATCTTTAAAGGCATATTCTCAAGATGCAGGTGTAATTTGTCCAGAGAATCTCAACTGAGAATAAATTCCAGAGAAGGAGGAGAAAGAAAAAAAGTGGCTTTCCTTCAGGTAAACATGTGTCAGATGAAGAGCTGTGTCAACTTTTCCTCTTGGACTGCCATGCGTTTAATACTCACAAACCTTTACTTCTCTACTTGTGTTTTTCCTCCCTAATGAGTTTGGTTTAACTACTTCTTTAAATTCTTATGATAGTCAAGGGTTTCTGAAAAATATTTCTTTCCTATATTCCAGAGCCTTCTCTACATTCTCTTCATCATAGCTTCTTATATGCCATGCAGAATTCTCAGCAAGAATTTATGATCCACAATGTAGGATACGTAAATTTATCTTCAAAGGTTTTAGCTTGTTAACTTTAAAATCCAAAAGGTGAAGATCATTAAGTACAATGAGTTCTGAGGTCCTCTTCAAAGAATCAATATGTCAGTATGTTCTGCTTTCCTGTTGTTTATTCTCCATTTTAAAGTTTAACTTCCTCAATCTTTATGTTCCTTGCTCCTAGTTTAGTAAACAACCCCCTTCTAACTCACATATTTAGAGTTTTTAGTCATCCCTCATCACCTGCTGTATCCTGAGTCACCCCAGTCACCTGCCTTGTAACTCTCCTTTCTGCCAAAACTACTCACCATGCCACTCTGGCTTGTACCCTTGGTCCCTTTAAAATAGCCTATCAAAATTAGCTTAAACTGTGTGGTCCAACCCTACCCAATAGGGGAAACACACAGAAGTAGGGACTAGCCGCCTTAGGGATAAGACCCCCTTCTCCTCCCTTGTCCAAAAGTACTCTCACCATTGTTCCATCCACGAGATGCTGCCTTCTATAGAAGTAAATTTGCCTTGCTGAGACGTTCTCTGTTTGAGTGCTTGTTTTCTGTTTGACTCTGAGCAATTGTTTCCAACATGCAATATCAAAAATGTTCCCTTTGTGGCTGTTGAACATGGAAAGAAGTAGATACTCAAGATTCCTATTAGGAAAAACTGTGGTCCTTAGTAAAGATGGAGAACATGTAATGTTGAGGCTCCATCTGTGTGTTCCATTAGCTCTGTGCAGAACAGGATTAAGAAAATGCTTATTTAAATGAGATGGAATTTATTACCCAGAAAGATCTGAAAAAACTTATTAAGAGATACCTGCTCTCTAGGGTGCTAAATGAAGCCTACTTAAAATTGCTACTAAAAATTACAGAACATAGGAGTAATCTGTACTTTGAAGTTGACATAACACATGTTTCTTCATGGTTAAATTCAGATTTTATTTACTTTTTTGGGAGGAATATTTCAACAGTGATGCTGTGTTCTTGTGCGTGTGGTCTTCCTTGGTGAGTATAACTTGAATACATAATTCATAATATACCCTAAAGGTTTTATTTCTCTTTTTTTCTAGAATATTTTTTACTAATTTATTCTTTGCATAGAAGAGTTTTGGATGCCTTTCTCCAGAAAATGTTCAGAATTTGTTCATTTAGAAAACAATTTCTTCAAGAATTTTTATCTTAATCCAAACTTTTGACATTCCTAAGATGAGTTGTATTCTTAACCCTGAATTAGTGGTAATTCCAGCAGTTTAGTGGCATAAAATACTGATACCCCCACCTGAAAATCTCATTGCCATCACCAATTTTTGATTCAGTAGTACCAGGTAGTAAAATTTAAAAACCTACAAGGAGGGTCAGGTGCGGTGGCTCATTCCTGTAATCCCAGCACTTTGGGAGGTTTAGGCATGTGGATTGCCTAAGGTCAGGAGTTCGAGACTAGCTTGACCAACATGGAGAAACTCTGTCTCTACTAAAAATACAAAATTAGCCGGGCATGATGGTGCATGTCCATAATTCCAGCTACTCTGGAGGGTGAGGCAGTAGAATCTCTTGAACCCAGGAGGCAGAGGTTGCAGTGAGCTGAGATCACGCCATTAAACTCCTGCCTGGGCAACAAGAGTGAAATTCCATCTCAAAAAAAAAACAAAAAACAAAAAGAAACCTACAAGTTGAAAGTATTTTCTATATATTTAGAAGTTTCTGTTATAACTTAGTATTTTGGTAATAATTTACTAGTGTTGCAGGAAGTCAGGGACCCCGAATGGAGGGACTGGCTGAAGCCATGGCAGAAGAACATAAATTGTGAAGATTTCATGGACATTTTTTAGTTCCCCAAATTAATACTTTTATAATTTCTTATGCCTGTCTTTACTGCAATCTCTGAACATAAATTGTGAAGATTTCACGGACACTTATCACTTCCCCAGTCAATACCCTTGTGATTTCCTATGCCTGTCTTTAATCTCTTAATCCCATCATCTTCATAAACTGAGGAGGATGTATGTCACCTCAGGACCCTGTGTTGATTGCGTTAACTGCACAAATTGTTTGTGGAGCATGTGTGTTTGAACAATATGAAATCTGGGCACTTTGGAAAAAAGAACAGGATAACAGCAATGTTCAGGGAACAAGAGAGATAACCTTAAACTCTGACCGCCAGTGAGCCGGGTGGAACAGAGCCATATTTCTCTTCTTTCAAAAGCAAATGGGGGAAATATCACTGAATTATTTTTCTCAGCAAGGAACATCCCTGAGAAAGAGAATGCATCCCTGAGGGTAGGCCTCTAAAATGGCCATTTCAGGGGGCGGCCATCTTTTATGGTCAAGCTGTAGGGATGAAATAAGCTCCAGTCTCCCATAGCGCTCCCAGGCTTATTAGGATGAGGAAATTCCCACCAAATAAATTTTTGGTCAGACCAGTTGTCTGCTCTCAAACCCTGTCTCCTGATAAGCTGTTATCAATGACAATGCATGCCCAAAACTTCATTAGCAATTTTAATTTCACCCTGGTCCTGTGGTCCTGTGATCTCACCGTGCCTCCATTTGCCTTGTGATATCTTATTACCTTGTGAAGCATGTGATCTCTGTGACCCACACCCTATTTGTACACTCCCTCCCCTTTTGAAAATCACTAATAAAAACTTGCTGGTTTTATGGCTCAGGGGCCTCCCGGAACCTGCTGACATGTGATGTCTCCCCCAGACACCAAGCTTTAAAATTTCTCTCTTTGTACTCTGTCCCTTTATTTCTCAGACTGGCCAACACTTAGGGAAAATAGAAAAGAACCTACATGAAATATTGGGAGTGAATTTCACCCAACATCTGGCTGAATTTCCCCTGATAACTGGAATATATATGCATATATATATATATATATATATATATTTTTTTTTTTTTTTTTTTTTTTTTTTTTTTTTTGAGATGGAGTCTCGCTCTGTTGCTCAGGCTGGAGTGCCGTGGTGCAATCTTGGCTCACTGCAAGCTCTGCCTCCCGGGTTCACGCCATTCTCCTGCCTCAGCCTCCCAAGTAGCTGGGACTACAGGCACCCGCCACCATGCCTGGCTAATTTTTTGTATTTTTAGTAGAGACGGGGTTTCACTGTGTTAGCCAGGATGGTCTCAATCTCCTGACCTTGTGATTCACCCACTTCGGCCTCCCAAAGTGCTGGGATTACAGTCGTGAGCCCCTGCGCCTAGCCTAATTTACTAGAATATTTTATCACATCCTCTCTGCTGAACACATTACTAGCTTGTAATTGGAGAATATGAGCAAGATTCATGTTATTTATTTTTAATAAAACATGTATTGGTGTCTCTGAACCAGACCTGATCACCTGTCTGGAGCAGGAAAAAAAACCTTTGACTATGAAGAGACATGAGATAATTGCCAAACCCCCAGGTAGGTGTGAGTGAAAATGAATACAACAGATGACACAGATTAGAGATCCCAAGGTCAAAGAGAAAGCCAGTCCTTAGAATGTGATTTGGGAAGCTGTGTTCCAAAGGAAATAGTTCCTGGGCATCTGTTCTATTGTTTGTTTGTTTGTTTTTTAAATTTTATTCTCACAAAGGGGTATCTTCTGTCTTGTGCTTTTAAATTCTCTACAAATTCCACTTTTCTTTCCGTGAGCTTCCTTCAAGTTCACAGTGAGAGCCAAAGTCCACTTCAGGGCATATAAGAGACTGCACAATCTGGCTGCTTTTCTATTGTTTTGGGGACACACAACTATCTGCATGATTTTGAGAAACTAAAAGTTTTTAAAGTTTTTTTTTGCATCAGATTTGAAATGTGTGGGAGTAGTTGTTTCTGTTGAATATTTTTGTTCATTTTTCTGCCCAGCCCATTCTGTTTTTATTACTATATAGCCTTGAAATATAGTTTGAAATTATAAGTATGATATTTTTCTGCTTTGTTCTTTTTTCTCAAGATTGCTTTGGCTATTCAAAGTTTATTTTAGTTTCATGTAAATTTTAGAATTGTATTTTCCGTTACTGTGAAAAAAATACCACTGCAATTTTGATAGGAAATTTATTGAATCTATAGATCACTTTGGATAATATGGCACTTTAATAATATTTATTCTTTCAATCTGTAGACACAAAATATTTTAAAATTTATTTAGATCTTCTCTAATTTTTTCATTGTTTTTTTTTATTGTGAAGATTTTTACCTCCTTGGTTAATTTTTTCTCACAAATTTATTATTTAATGCTATAGTAAATAAGATTTGTTTCATCTTCTATTTTATCTGGTAGTTGAAGTTTCTGAAACCATATATATACTTGCATGTTAATTTTATATTTTGCTAATTTACGAGTGTATTTATTAGTTTATGTAGCTTTTAATGTTCTGTGATGGTTTTTCTAAAATATAAGATTGTATGATCTACAAACAGCAACTTTTTACTTATTTTTCTTTCATTTCAATGGATTTTTTTGTTTCTTTGAGTAATTCTTCTGCCACATACTTCCAGTTCTACATTAAAATAGAAGTATTGACAATGGACACAATATAGTTTTGTATTGGTGTCTGAATTTGATGGAGCAAACACCTCTTCAAGTTTTCATGAACTGATTTTAGAAGGTAAGGATCTTTCTTTGGGCCCTTGGGGTTATGAGATGCCCTCTGAATTTGTAGTGAAGAGGGGTTGTAGCTTGGTCACAAGGCCGCTGGGTCTGCACTAGGGTCCACCTTTAGTTGGCTTGTTACAGGGGCTTGGGTAGTCATAATTCTCATTTTGTTTTGGACACGCTGCAAATTTTTCAGGACTTTGCTCCATGGGGCAGACACTAGGGCATGTTTTTGCAGTTGGGTCTGCATATGGTGGGCCTTATATCAGGACATGGATGAGTATGGCTTTCACTGAGTACCAGAGAGCATTTCCTCATGTAACTGTTTGGGTTTCTATGTAGGCAAAACTGGCCATGAACTGTGGCTCAGGTACTGAAACTGAGCCATTGAACGACTTCAGGGACCACAGCAAAGGCCAAGGTCTACAAGTCTGCCTGCATGGCTGTAAATGGGTATCTTCCTTCAGGTCTCTGGAATGGCAGGACCTCTCCCAGACTGTGGCTGGGAGGAGTTTGGGATGGTTACAGAGTTAAGTTCAGAATTCTCAGTGGGATCAAGTTGGGTGAACCCTATCCTGGTCTGTAGCCAAAAACAGGGGTCCTGTAGTTTCCCACCTGAATGACATCCTGCCTTCTTAATAGAACACTTCTCAATCTTAAGCTTTAGTAGTGTTTCACAACTCCCTCCTGGGATCTCAAATCTCTCTTCGAGACACTTATTTTGGAGATGGCATCTTGCTGCTTAACCCAGGCTGGTCTTGAAATCCTGGCCTGAAGCAGTTCTCCAACCTTAATGTACCATGTAGCTGTCATTACAGGTGTGAGCCATAATGCCTGGTTTCTCATAAAGGCATTTTTGTCAGGGATGGCTGACTTTTTTTTTTGCTGTGAGGGGATATGAAAATAGGGCACTTTTAATCTTTTTATCTTACTGATGTCACTCTCCCTACACATTTTTACTTTCTATTTTCTCTTTCAGATTTGCCTGTAATTTTAGATTCAGATATTTAGGACAATATGCTAGAATTTGATGGTATTCCTGAAGTAAATTAGATAATTAGTAAGCACTCCATATTTACTCAGTTATTTGTAAATTTAAGTTTGCCACAGGCAAAAAGGAATTATAGTATTTTCATCTACTTTCTTCAGCTTACATCTACATAATAAAATAGTTTATTTCCTAATATTTGTTTCACATATCAGAGGGTCTCACTTTATTCTGCAAAATATATATGTGTATATTTTCTATATTTAACAATGTAAGGCTGTTTTTTGCTTCTAAAGTTAGATTACAGCAGTTTCATTTTGTGTAAGAATAGCATATATTTAAAACATAAAAAATAACGTTGGTTTATTTTAAATGCTTATTTATTAAAAGTTTCTCATCGTGTTACCCAGACTGGTCTCAGGATTTTGGCCCCAATGGATCCTCTTATCTTGATCTCCCAAAGTGTTAGGATTATAGGCAACAGCCACTGCACTCAGTCAGTATTTTTAAATTTAATAAAATTTGGTGTGTGTCCTAACAGCATACACCAGATGCAGATAAGAATATTGTACATTATCCTGGTTTTGACTGGAAAGTTTTGTATGTGTCTGTGAAGCCTAGTTGGTCTATTACATGGTTTGGATGTTCATGTTATCCAAAGCTCATGCTGCAATATAAATCCTCAATGTTGGATGAAGGACGTGGTGGGACATGTTTTTGTATGGGGGCATATTTCTCATGAATGGCTTGGTACATCCTCTTGGTAACCAAAAAGTTTACACTCTATTAATTCAAATGAGAGCTGGTTCATTACATGAACCTGGCTCCTTCACCTCACACTTGCTCAGTCTCTTATCATATAATATGTCCAGTTACTGTTTACATTCCACCATGACGGTAAGTTTCCTGAGACCCACACCAAAAGCAGATGCTGGCACACACTTCTTATACAGTCTGCCAAACTGTGAGCCAAATAAACTTTTTTTCTTTGTAAATTATGCACTCTCAAGAATTTCTGTATATGCAAAATAATTAGTACAGTCTATAATGTTGCCCAGGTTTTCTGTTTCTTATTTTTTATTTGAATTTTCTATTTATTATTGCAAATGGAGTCTTGATGTCTACAATTATTATGTTACTATGTATGTCTTGCTTCACTTTTGTCAATATTTGCTTTATTTATTTTGGAGCTCTGATGTTATATACACACATTCATATAGATAAATAAATATTATAGTTAAAGATTCCTGGTAAATCAGCTCACTTTACCATAATATATTATCAATTTTTGTCTCATGGTAGTACTTGACTTAAAGCATAATATGTCTAATATAATTATGATCACTTCACTCACTTGTGGTTACTATTTTCATGGAATATACATCTTTTTCATTCGGTTACTTTCAGCCTATTTGACTGAATGCTAAAATGAGTCTCTTGTAGGCAGCATACTGTATGCTTTTTAGAAAAACCACTCACACTGGGCATGGTGGTTCACACCTATAATCCCAGCACTTTGGGAGGCCAAGGTGGGTGGGTCAACTGAGGTCAGTAGTTTGAGACCAGCCTGTCCAACATGGAGAAACCCCATGTCTACTACAAATACAAAAATTAGCCAGGTGTGGTGGCATGCACCTGTGATCCTAGCTACTCAGGAGGCAGAGGTGGGAGAATTGCTTGAACCCAGGAGGCAGAGGTTGCAGTTAGCCAAGATCGCACCATTGCACTCCAGCCTGGGCAACAAGAGCAAAATTCAGTCTCAAGAAAAAAAAAAAAACCACTCAGGCATCCTATATCATTTTCTTTATATTATTTATTTATTTATTTATTTTAAGATGGAGTTTCTCTCTTGTTGCCCAGGCTGGAGTGCAATGGTGCAATCTCAGCTCACTGCAATCTCCACCTCCCGGGTTCAAGTTATTCTCCTGCCTCAGCCTCCCAAGTAGCTGAAATTACAGGCACCCACAACCACACCCAGCTAATTTTTGTAGTTTTTGTTGGGGTGATCAGATCCAACACCAGGTTGTGGGGGCTACGAAGTCTGGCAGAGTCAAAGGAATGGGACAAGACAAGTTAAGAGTACATAGGGTGGGTCCAGGAGGCCAAAGCCAGTTTGGAGGCTGTGAAGGCCCTGAGTTCTGGGAGTCCACACTATTTATTGGTAATCAAACAATGAAGCAGGTGCTGAGGACGTGTGGATATGAGGGTAGACAGGTGAGGACGTGAGGATAGAAAGGTAGTGGTGCATCAAGTGTAGCTGTGACAGTTTAGCATATGCTGTGCTACTTAAGATAAGGGAGAACAGGTTCTTCTAATTCAAGATCCAATCATTTATGATCTTCCGAGAGCAAGGAGCAAGGGGCCAGCGAGTCTGGACACATTCCAGAGGTTACAAGGGGTTTTATGCCCTGAGCCCTGGGTTCTCTCCAAGCCACAAGGAGTTTTATGCTCTGGGCTTAGACTGTAGTGTGGCAGGGCAGGCTTCCACCATTTGGCACAGAGCTTGGTTTTCCAAAGGTCATGAGGGGTTTTAGACCCTGGACCCAGGACATGTTCCAAGACTCTTTTACATTATGTCAGACAAGCAAGCCCTGCCTCAGCTCTTCTGCCAACAGTTTTAGTAGAGACGGGGTTTTACCATGATGGCTAGGCTTGTCTTGAACTCCCGACTTCAGGTAATCTGCCCACCTTGGCCTCCCAAAGTGCTGGGATTACAGGTGTGAGCCACTGTGCCCGGCCTCATTTATTTTTGAGATATGATCTCAGTCTGTCAACCAGGCTGATTTGCGTGGTTCACTGCTGCCTGAACCTCCCAAACTCAGATGATCTTCTCATTTTAGCCTCTCAAGTAGCTGGGTTACAAGTATGTGCCATCACACACAGGTAGCTTTTTTGTATTTTTAGTAGAGACTGAGTTTTCCCATGTTGCCCAGGCTGGTCTTGAACTCCTGGGATCAAGTGATCAGCCTACCTTGGTCTTCTAAAGTCCTAAGATTACATTTTATTTTATTAAGTAGTTTAATTAATTTATATTTAAAATGATTGCTTAAAGAAATGAAGTTGTTATTACCAGTTATATTTATGGTTTTATGTGTTTCCAGTAGTTATATTTTTCTCATTTCCTATTTTACTTTCTTAATTTTTATTTAATTTTGTACTCACATGCTTTATTTTTTATTGTCTTTTGCATACTTTCTATAAATATTTTCTTTCTAATCATCTGAAAACTGGAGATTGCATGCATCTTAAAGTTAAAACAATATGTTTTAATTTCATAAAAACTTCAACTGAATACAAAAACTATGCCTCTATATTTTCCAGTTTGTTATTGATATATAAATTATTTTATATGGTGTATCTATTAACAGATGCACGCAGATTTACACATTGTTTTTATATTCTATAAAAGCACTTTAAAGGTTTTATTTACCATCATTTTTGTTTTTTTTGGTTGTTTGTTTTGATTTGTTTTTGAGACTGAGTCTCACTCTACTGCCCAGGATGGAGTGCAATGGTGCAATCTTGGCTCACTGCAACCTCTGCCTCCCAGGTTCAAGGGATTCTCCTGCCTCAGCCTCCCAAGTAGCTGAGGTTACAGGTGCCTGCCATCAGGCCAGCCTGGCTAATTTTTTGTATTTGTAGTATAGATGGGGTTTCACCATGTTGGCCAGGCTGGTCTTGAACTCCTGACCTCAGGTGATTAGCCCACCTCAGCCTCTTAAAGTGCTGAAATTACAGATGTGAGCCACCATTCCCAGTGTGGCTGGGATTTACCATCATTTTGATAGTAAAGAATTCTATATGTGTCCATATATTTACATTTATTGGAGAGCTTTATATTTACATATGTTTTTATGATGCTGTCCAGCACCATTTTATGTTTCTACATAACGGACACATTTTAACATTTCTCTGTTTTTATATGTAGGGTCTCATTATGTTGCTCAGGCTGGTCTTGAACTTCTGGTCTCAAGTGATGTGATTGCTTTGGCCTCCCAAAGCTGTAGAATTACAGGCATGAAGCACTGTGCCTGAGCCCCGTGCAGTATTTTTTTTTTACTTTTTTTTTTTTGAGACCGAGTCTCCCTCTGTCACCCAGGCCTGGGGTGCAGTGGCATGATCTTGGCTCACTGCAACCTCCGCCTCCCAGGTGCAAGCAAATCTCCTGCCTCAGATTCCATCCCGAGTAGCTGGGGTTACAGGTGCATGCCACCATGCTGGGCTAATTTTTATTATTATTATTATTTTTAGTAGACATGGGGTTTCAACATGTTGGCCAGGCTTATCTCGAACTTCTGACCTTTGATGATCCAACTGCCTTGGCCTCCCAAAGTGCTGGGATTACAGGCTTGAGCCATCTCACCTGGCACTTTTTTTTTTTTTTTTTGAGATGGAGTCTTGCTCTGTCGCCCAGGCTGGAGTGCAATGGCATGATTTTGGCTCACTGCAACTTCCGCCTCTTGGGTTCAAGTGATTCTCCTGCCTCAGCCTCCTGAGTAGCTGGGACTACAGGTGTGCACCACCACGCCCAGCTAATTTTTGCATGTTTAGTAGGGACGCAGTTTCACCGTATTGTTCAGGCTGGTCTTGAACTCCCGATCTCAGGCAATTCACCCACCTCGGCCTCTGAAACTGCTGGGATTACAGGCGTGAGCCAGTGTGCCCAGCCCCATGTAGTATATTTTGTAGAACTGTTAGTGGTGATGAACAGTCTCACCTTTTATTTTGGAAAGTCTTTATTTTTGTCTTCTTATTGAAGTAGTGTAATTTTGAATTGAGTTTTACTGGTTAGAAATTTTTTTTTGTTACATTAAAATTTGGGAAGTTCTCAGCTTTTTTTTTTTTTTAATCTTCAAGTAATGTCTGTATTACTTTTTCTCTATATTCTAAGATTCCTTTCATGAATACATTGATCTGCTTGATGGTATCCAATAAGTTTTACATTCCATGTGTTAATTTTGTTTTGTGATTTTATATTATTGTGTTATATATTTTTGGGTATGCCACATCACAGCAGTTAGTTGTGTTTTGATTTTTTAGTTTATATTATAATTGTATATGACAATATTTAACTCTGTACAATTTAAGACAGTGTGGAGCAAAATTAAATGTGAATAAGCTGTATGTCTATTACCAGTATAATTATTTCTATGTTTGTTGGCCTGTATAAATTTTATCCTGGTATTTTTGTGTCACTTGTATATTTGTTGTGTGTTTCTTGTAGTAGGTTTTTTGGAGTTTTTTGTTGTTGTTTGTTTGTTTGAGAGAGAGTTTTGCTCTTGTTGCCCAGGCTGGAATATAATGGTGGGATCTTAGCTCACTGCAACCTCTGCCTCCTGGGTTCTAGCAATTCTCCTGCCTCAGCTTCCCAAGTAGCTGGGATTACAGGCATGCACCACCATGCCAGGCTAATTTTGTATTTTTAGTAGAGATGGGGCTTAAACATTGGTCAGGCTGGTCTCGAACACCCGACCTCAGGTGATCCACCCACCTCAGCCTCCCTAAGTGCTGGGATTACAGGCATGAGCTACTGCACCAAGCCTATAACAGTTTTTTAATCCTGTCTAGATGAGTAGTCATAAAAAATCTCCTAATTTCAACATCTATTTATTTGTGAATCTACATTGTTTTGTGTGAAAGAAACACTTTTGGATTTGAAGATAATTTAAAAACTATAATAACTCTGTATCTCTCTTAGGTATTATTTTTACTTATGTATTTTGTGTCAAAAACATAACAAAATTTACAATAAAATATTTCTAGGCCGGGTGCAGTGGCTCACTGAGTGATATTCCAGTATTTTTGTACCTACTGAATGATTTGGTGACAGAAATTTGCATTGCTTTTACCTATTGGCTTTCAGTCACAATGCTGCAATAGTTATGTGAAAGTTAATATATGTACTGCATTCTGTTTTATTTTTCTAATTTTTCACCTTTATACTCATACCAATTGTTTTAATTCTGTAGCTTTTTGATGTGTTTTGAAATCAGAAATGGTAAAGCCTCCAACGTTGTTCCTTTTTTTGAAGATTGTTGGGTACTTTCTTGTCTCTTTAGATTCCATATACTTTTGGATTTGTTGTTTTTATTTCTTCAAAAATGCAATGAGACATTTGAAAAACATTGAGTTAAATCTGTAGATTAAATTGAGCAGTACAGACATCTTCACAGTATTAATTCTTTCTTTTTTGGTTGTTTGTTTTTGAGATGGAGTTAAATTCACCCACCTCGGCCTCCCAAAGTGCTGGGATTACAGGCATGAGCCACCGCACCCAGCCCAGTAATTTCAACAAGTGCATGCTCAAGAGTGTGTCATATGATTTCTATATATTTGTAAATTTATCAAATATTTATATTATTGTTTTATATTCTAATTTCATTTTTTGTCATAGAAAGTAATCTATAAAATCTACATTTTAGAAAATGTGTTGAGGCTGGGCGCGGTGGCTCATACCTGTACTCCCTGCACTTGGGAGGCCAACGCAGGCAGATCACCTGAGGTAAGGAGTTCAAGACCAGCCTGACCAACATGGAGAAACCGTGCCTCTACTAAAAATACAAAATTAGCTGGGCGTGGTGGTGCATGCCTGTAATCCCAGCTACTCAGGAGCCTCAGGCAGGAGAATCACTTGAACCTGGGAGGCAGAGGTTGCAGTGAGCTGAGACTGCACCATTGCACTCCATACTGGGTAACAAGAGTGAAACACTCCATCTCAAATATATATATATATGTGTTAAGATTTTGTTTTTGGACTAACAGGTGGTCTATATAGGAGAATGTTGTTTGAGCTATTGAGAAGGCTGTGTATTTTGATGCTGTTGAGGAGTGTTCTCTATACCTTCATTAGAAATAAGTGTTTTTTACTGCCTTCTAGTCCTCTGTTCCATTATTAATATTATGTCTTGTTTTATTATTATTACAGAAAGTGGGGTATTGAAATATCCTACTATAATTATATTGCTCTCTCTGTGTTTATCCAATTTTGTTAGTGTTTGCTTTATATATTTGAAACCCTAGTTTGAGACACACACACACAAATACACACATGGATAAATAAATTTGTCATAGGTTCTCAGTGAATGAATCTATATATTATTTAATGTCCTTTGTCTTTCTGAAGTTTGAACTTAAAGTACATTCTATAAAATATGACAGTTTTTGACTTAACATGTATCTTGTATAATATTATTTTGACCTCTTCTACTCTCATTTGGTTAATATTTACGTGACATTTCTACTTCCATTATTTCACTTTCAGTCTTTTTTGTCATTAGATTTCAACTGAGTCCTGTAGAAAGGCAAGTTGAACATTGATTTTAAACACTTTTTAATAAACCTGTTTATTGAAAGTATGTCTCTTGATTGGAAAGATAATTATATATATATTTAAATGGTTTTCTGAAAGAGAAAAACTTACTAATGTTATATTATTAATCATTTTATTTGATTCTATCTTTTTCTCTCATTTTCTCTTTCTGTCTTTTTTTGTGTTTTTTTATTTCTGTATTGATATGCTTTCAGTTTTTTTCTTACTTTCTTTTGTGTATCTATATAAATATTTTCTTAGATACCTTGGGGGATTACATAAAACCTCTGAAAGATCCAACAATATATTTGAATATGGTAAAAAACTAACTTCAATTGCATACAAAAATTCTTCATCATTACGTCTGCCTTCAACTTTGTTATTGATTTTGCTAATTTTATTTTTTTATGTTTTATGTTCATTAACAGATGTTTATAATCATGTCTATACTTTTACCTTTTAAATTTTAGAGAATAATTAAAAATGTTTTCTGTATCATTATGATAATGTTAAGTAATAAATTTCATTTTTGTGTATGTGCATATTGCATTATGTTATTTTCAGTGAAAGAACCTCCTTTCAGCATCTTTGATATGTAGAGCATATGCAATGTCAATATACTTTCTCAGGATTTGGTTATTTTGGAAGGACGTCTTTGTATTTGGTAGTACAATTTTGCTGATGGTATTATTCCCACTTGACAGCTTTTTAAAAATTATTATAACTTTAACAATATCACACAGTTTCCTTCTGACTTGCAAATTTTTTTTTGATAAATTCACTGGTTATCTCATGAGACTATGCTTATAAATGAAACATTTTTATATTGTAGTGCCCAAAATTCTTTTCTCATATGCCATTTTGAAATTTTGCTTATATTTGTGTCTGTTATTATCTTTGTGTGTACCTAAATTTGTTTTTTCAGCTTTTTCATGTTTACGTCATATTTTCTTTTAAGAAATTTTTCAGTTTTTTGGTAATTTTATATCCACAATTTTTGGTATTTTAATTTTTTTATCTTTATTTTTCTGATCTTCGGTAGTTGTCTGTGTTTCTATTTTTTTCTGATACGGAGTCTTTTTCTGTCGCTGAGGCTGGAGTGCAGTGGCGTGATGTCGGCTAACTGCAAACTCTGCCTCCCAGGTTCAAGCGATTCTCCTGCCTCAGCCTCCCGAGTAGCTGGGATTACAGCTGCCTGCCATCACGCCCAACGAATTTTTTGTATTTTTAGTAGAGACGGGGTTTCTCCATGTTGGCCAGGCTGATCTTGAACTCCTGACCTCAAATGATCCACCCACTTTGGCCTCCTGAAGTGCTGGGATTACAGGCACGAGCCACAAAGCCCAGCCTTTTTCATTGTATTTTTGAGACAGTGTTGCTCAGGCTGCAGTACAGTGGTACAATCTCCACTCACTGCAACATTCCCCTCCCAGGTTCAAGCAGTTCTCCTGTGTCAGCCTCCCAAGTAGCTGTGATTACAGGCAAATGCCACCATGCCCAGCTAATCTTTGTATTTTTAGTAGATACAGGGTTTCATCATGTTGGCCAGGGTGGTGTCAAACTCCTGACTTCATGTGATTTTCCCACCTTGATCTCCCAGTGTGTTGGGATTCCAGAAATGAGCCACTAACCCTGGCCTGTTCAATCTATTTTGAATTTTTAAAATTACTTTCTATACTTTCTATGGTTGCTTTAGAAAATTTTATGTTTTTGATGGGGCCATATTGTTCTAATATTTGGTATACATTATAATCTTTGATTGAGATTTGGACATTAACAAAAAGCTACCTGTTACAATCTTTATAATATAGCTTTGTGTTTGCGTAGTCTGAAGTCAATTGTCTTGGCTAAAGATTCTGGGAATTCCTCAAACATGTTTTTAGGATGTATCTTGTCTAAAATTTTGTTTTTATTGTTTAGATAAATCAGCTTGTTCACATTTCTTCTTAATAATCTGTAATCACTTGCCACACCCATTCCCTGTTTGGGGTACTGCAGTTTCTCTGCTTCTCTGTAATATACCTTCAGACTCAGCAGACTCAAACTGTCATTCCAACATGTATCACCATTTCTTTCAGCATTTTATGTCACGAGAAACATTAACTAATGTCTAAGAAAGCCCCTAGAAGCCAGAAATAAAGATATATGTGCCAATATTTTTCTAGTTTTTTTTTGTTTTGTTTTTAAAAACGAGGGGTTGGCAATTTACATGTGTGTGTATGTGTGAGACAGAGTCTCACTCTGTTACCTAGGCTGGAGTGCAGTGGCATGATCTTGGCTCACTACAATCTCTGCCACCACAGTTCAAGCAATTCTCCTGCCTCAGCCTCCCAAGTAGCTAGGATTACACATATCTGTTACCAAGCCTGGCTAATTTTTTGTATTTTTAGTAGAGATGGGATTTCACCATGTTAGTCAGGCTGGTCTCAACCTCCTGATCTCAGATAATCCTCCCGCCTTGCCCTCCCAAAGTTCTGAGATTACAGGCTTGAGCCATCATGCCTGGTCAGCAATTTACTTTTTTTTTGGAGGGGCAGGGGATGAAGTCTCTCTCTTTTGCCCAGGCTGAAGTGCAGTGGCACGATCTCTGCTCACTGCAACCTCCGCCTTCCAGGTTCAAGCAATTCTCATGCCTCAGCTTCCCGAGTAGCTGTGATTGCAGGCACCCACCACCATGCCTGGCTAATTTTTTGTATTTTTAGTAGAGATGGGGTTTCACCATCTCAGCCGGGCTGGTCTTGAACTCCTGACCTCAAGTCATCCACCCACATCAGCCTCCCAAAGTGCTGGGATTACAGGTATAAGCCACCACATCCATTTGGCAATTTACTTTTGAAGACACAATCTTATATGGAGAGCAGGAAGAGCTGTGTTGGGTATAAGTAACAGACCTCTTTTTCTTCTATGTGGCTCTTTGCATTGTGCTCACTTGGGGCCCTTCACACACTTAACTCATTTATACATTTTTTACAAACGTTTTTTGGTCAGTATGTTTTTGTTACATTTATATGTCCAGGAAGAAATTACAGCTTATGGTATTTTGCTATGTCATCTTGCTTATGTAGTTTGTATAATTTTATAGGTTAGATTTGTAAAGTATATTTATCTGAGTCTAGCAACTGAAGTAATGTATTTGTATTGTTTCTTTCAGTTATGTGTTCTCATTTTGCCCAAGACCTTTGGCCAGAGCAGAGCGTAAAAGATTCTTTCCAAAAACTGATACTGAGAAGTTAGTTATGAAAAATGTGGACATGACAATTTACAGTTAAAAAAAGAATGTGAAAGTGTGGATGAGTGTAAGGTGCACAAAGAAGGTTATAATGGACTTAACCAATGCTTCACAAATACCAAGAAAAAAATATTTCAATGTGATAAATATAGGAAAGTTTTTCATAAATTTTCAAATTCAAACTGACATAAGAGAAGACATACGGGAAAAAAGACCTTTCAAATGTATAGAATGTGGCAAAGCTTTTAACAAGTTTTCAACCCTTACTACACATAAGAAAATTCATACTAGAGAGAAACCCTACAAATGTGAAGAATGTGGCAAAGCCTTCAACTGGTCCTCATACCTTACTATACATAAGAGAATTCATACTGGAGAGAAACTCTACAAATGTGAAGAATGTGGCAAAGCCTTCAACTGGTCCTCATACCTTACTGCATATAAGATAACTCATACTAGAGAGAAACCCTACAAATGTGAAGAATGTGGCAAAGCCTTTAAGTACTCCTCGAACCTCACTACACATAAGATAATTCATACTGGAGAGCATCTCTACAAGTGTGAAGAATGTGGCAAAGCGTTTAACCATGCTGCATGCTTCTTTGTCATTTTGAAGATTTGACTTAAAGTACATTTTATAAAATATGACAGTTTTTGACTTAAGATGTAGCTTGTGTAATATTATTCTGAGCTCTTCTGCTCTCATTTGGTTAATATTTACATGAAATTTCTACTTCCATCTTTCCACTTTCAGTCTTTTTTTCTCATTAGATCTCAACTAACTCTTGTAGAAAGGCAAGTTGAATCTTGATTTAAAAATTTTTTAATAAACCTTTATATTGAAAGTATGTCTGTTGATTGGAAAGATAATTATATATATATTAAAATGGTTTTTTGAGAGAGAAAAACTTACTAATGTTATTTTATTAATTGTGTTATTTGATTTTTGTATCTTTGTCTCTCATTTTCTCTTTCTTTTTTGTGTTTTTTTATTTTTATTTTTATATTGACATGCTGTAGGGAGACCCCCTGAAACTATGGCTATGGAATGAAAGATGAAATGCTCCTGATAGTTGTAAATACAAAATTACATGCAGGATTGTGTAAAGACAATGCCAGGTTGGGCTGCCAGAATGAGCCAACAGTGCGTGATGTGCTTCGCCCTGCAGAGAGCCTATAAACGGATGTGCAGTCAGGAAGGTTTCACATCACCAAGATTCCTATCCCAGAAAAGCAGATATTCATAGCTCTGGGAATGGAATGCGACCCTTGTGGAGAGCCTACAAATGGATGCATGAGGGGTGCCTGTTCATATGGATAACATCGGGCTATAAACGCCCTTATCTTGCCATGGCTCTTCTAGGTCTCTTTAGGGTTAAGACATACTCCCTTCTGAGAATTTGTGGTCTAATCGGTTGTCTAGTTTTACATCCTCCTTTTATTGATTGTTTGCAACCAGCTTTTGCTGTAATTATTACTACTGATTAATATCTTGCTCATCATTAATCATAGATTATGGAGAGACGGGGTTTCCGTTTTAAGGCTCTGTTAAAAATTGCTGATGCACACACTATATTGTAAATTCTTATCTCTGTATACTGTACTTCTGCATATTGATGTTATGTTAAAGAATTACTTCATTCCCATGTGACCATCTCACCTCATAATCAAACGACTCTAAATCCCTCATTAACCTACCCCCACCCTCACTAAACTTAATAATAAATGCTGGTATATCCAGTGCATTGGCAGCATGGCAGGACCAGAAGGCGGTGACCCTCCTGGACTCAACTTTCACTATCTTGTGTGTGTCTTTTATTTCTTGACCTGCCGATCCACCTGGGAACAAAGAAAGAGCCCCATTGCATTGCGGGCTGCTGGCCAGATCCCGCAATAACATGCTTTCTGTTTTTGTCTTATTTCTTTTTTATGTATCTATACAGATATTTTCTAAGTGGTACTTTCAAGGATTACATAAAACCTCTAAAAGATCCAACAATATATTTGTTTGTGATAAAGAATCAGCTTCAGTTGCATACAAAAATTCTTCATCATTACATCAGCCTTCAACTTTGTTATGATTTTGCTAATTATATTTTTTATGTTGTATATTCATTAACAGATGTTTATAGTAATTCCTATACTTTTATCTTTTAAATTTTAGAAAATAACTAACAATGTTTTCTGCACCATTATGATAATGTTAAGTAAGAACTTTTATTTTTGTGTATGTACATATTTTTTCCAGAAATTTATGTATTTTCATATGATTAAGTGTTGTTTTCTTGCATTATATTATTTTCAGTGGAAGAAACTCCTTTCAGCATCTTTGATATGTAGGACATATGCAGTGCCAATATACTTTCTCAGGATTTGGTTACTTTGGAAGGACTTCTTTTTATTTGAGAGTACAATTTTCCTGATATTCTCATTCCCACTTGACAGTTTTTTTTTAATTATAACTTTAACAATATCACATAGCTTCCTTCTGACCTGCAAATTTTTTAATAAATTCACTGATTATCTCATGAAACCATGCTTATAAATAACACATCATTTTTATCTTGCACCTCCCAAAATTCTCTTCTTCTTATCTGTGATTTTTGAAATTTTATTTATATGTGTATTTGTTATGAATATCTTTGGTGTATCCTAGTTTGTTTAGCTTCTTCATCTTTATATCATGTTTTAAGAAATTTTCAGTTATTTTTTTGTATTATTTATATTCACGATTTTTTTTGCTTTTTTTTTTTTTTTTTGATGCAGAGTTTTGCTCCTGTTGCCCAGGCTGGAATGCAATGGCATGATCTCGGCTCACTGCAACCTCCGCCTCCTGGGTTCAAGCAATTCCCCTGCCTCAGCTTCCCGAGTAGCTGGGATTACAGGTGCCCACCACCACATCCAGCTGGTTTTTGTATTTTTAGTAGAGACAGGGTTTCACCACATTGGCCAGGCTGATCTTGAACTCCAGACCTCAGGTAATCCACCTGCCTTGGGCTCCCAAAGTGCTGGGATTACAGGCGTGAGCCACCGTGCCTGGCCTTTTTTTTCCTTTTTAATATTTCTTGTTGTTATCCTCATTTTTCTAATCTTCAGAAGTTGTCTGTGTTCCTATTTCACTTACTGAATATTATTCAATATATTTGATTTGATTTGATTTGATTTGATTTGATTTATTTATTATTCTTTTTGTTTTCTGAGACGGAGTCTCTTTCTGTTGCCCAGGCTGGAGTGCAGTGGCACAATTTTGGCTCACTGCAACCTCCGCCTCCTGGGTTCAAGCAACTCTCTCCCTCAGTCTCTCGAGTAGCTGGGACTACAAGCACCCAATACCATGACCGGCTAATTTTTTGTATTTTTAGCAGAGATGGGGTTTCACTATCTTGGCTGGTCTTGAACTCCTGACCTCATGATCCACCGATGTCAGCCTATCAAAGAGCTGGGATTACTGGCATGAGCCACCAAGTCCAGCCAGCTTTTTACTTTTAAAAGCACAATGTTATACTGGAGAGCAGGAGGACCTGTGTTGGGTATAAGTAACAGACTTTACTTTTTCTTCTATGTGGCTGTTTGCATTGTGCTCACCTGGGGCCGTTCATACACGTAACTTATTTATAAATTTGTTACAAATGTATTTTGGTCAGTATGTTTTTGTTAAATTTATATGTCCAGGAAGAAATTACAGCTTGTGGTATTTTCCTATGTCATCTTGCTTATGTAGTTTGTATAATTTTATAGGTTAGATTTGTAAAGTATATTTATCTGAGTCTAGCAATTGAAGTAATGTGTTTTTATTGTTTCTTTTGGTTATGTGGTCTCATTTTGCCCAAGACCTTTGGCCAGAGCAGAGAATAAAAGAATCTTTCCAAAAAGTGATACTGAGAAGATATGAAAAAAATGGACATGACAATTTACAGTAAAAAAAAAGGCTGTGAAAATATGGATGAGTGTGAGGTGCACAAAAGAGGTTGTAACGGACTTAACCAATGTTTCACAAATACCCAGAGCAAAATATTTCAATGTGATAAATATATGAAAGTCTTTCATAAATTTTCAAATTCAAACAGACATAAAAGAAGACATACTGGAAAAAACCTTTCAAATGTATAGAATGTGGCAAAGCTTTTAACCAGTCCTCAACCCTTACTACATATAAGAAAATTTATACTAGAGAGAAACCTACAAATGTGAAGAATGTGGCAAAGCGTTCAACTGGTCCTCACACCTTACTACACATAAGATAATTCATACTGGAGAGAAACTCTGCAAATGTGAAGAATGTGCCAAAACCTTTAAGCAGTCCTCTAACCTTACTACACATAAGATAATTCATACTAAGGGGAAACCCTACAAATGTGAAGAATGTTGCAAAGCCTACAATTGGTCCTCACCCCTTACTACACCTAAGATAATTTATACTAAGGAGCAACCCTACAAATATGAAGAATGTGACAAAGTCTTTAAGAACTCCTCTCAACTTACCACACATAAGATAATTCATAAAGGAGAGAAACCCTACAAATGTGAAGAATGTGGCAAAGCCTTTATGTACTCCTCTACCCTTACTACAGATAAGATACTTCATACTGGAGAGAAACCCTACAGATGTAGAGAATGTGGCAAAGCTTTTAACCATCCCACAACACTTTTTTCACATAGGAAAATTCACACTGGAGAGAAATCACACAAGTGTGATAAATGTGGCAAAGCCTTTATTTAATCACCAACCCTTAGTAAACATGAGATAATTCATACAGGAGAGAAACCCTACAAATGTGAAGAATGTGGCAAAGCCTTCAGCTGGTCCTCACACCTTACTACACATAAGAGAATTTCTACTGCAGAGAAACCGTACAAATGTGAAGAATGTGGCAAAGCTTTCAGCTGGTCCTCACACCTTACTACACATAAGAGAATTTCTACTGCAGAGAAACCGTACAAATGTGAAGAATGTGGCAAAGCTTTTAACTGATCCTCAGACATTAATAAACATATGATAATTCATATTGGACAGAAACCAAGAATGTGACAAAGCTTTTTAAGGAAGTTCTCAACCCTCATTACACATAATTTATACTGGACAGAAACCTACAAGTGTGAAAAATGTGGCAAAGCCTATAACAAGTTCTCATTTTTATTTTTTTTTGAGACAGAGTTTCAGTCTTGTCACCCAGGCTGGAGTGCAATGGCACAATCTCGGCTCACTGCAACCTCCGCCTCCTGGGTTCAAGCCATTCTCCTGCCTCAGCCTCCCAAGTAAGTGGGATTACAGGTGCCCACCACCACACCCAGCTAATTTTTGTATTTTTAGTAGAGATGGAGTTTCACCATATTTCCCAAGCTGGTCTCAAACTCCTGACCTCAGGTGATCCACCCGCCTAAGCCTCCTAAAGTGCTGGGACTGCAGGCATGAGCCACCATGCCCAGCCACAAGTTCTCAATTCTTAAGAGACATGGTGATAATTCATGCTGAAGAGGAGCTCTACAAACCTGAAAGATGTGAAAGTGCTTTTAGCAACCCCTCCAACTTTTCTATACATAAAAAAAATTATACTGGTATGAAACTCTAGAAATACATAAAATGTGAAAAAGCCTTTATATGGTTGCCACGCTTGATTGTACATAAGATAATTCATACTGCCAAAACTCCTACAAGTGTGAAGAATGTGGCAAAACTTTTCATCAGTGCTTACACCTTATTTCATAGTAAAGCTAGTATCTTTGAGAAAAATCGTACAAATATAAAGAATATGGAAAAACCATTAATGCCTACTCACATCTTACTCAACATAAGAAGATTCATAATTAATAAAAGCATTAAAAGTACAATTACTGTCAAAAAATCTTTCAGAAAATATAAACCTTTAAAGTGAAAAAAAATTTATTCTGAAGACAACCATTACAAATATAAAGGAGGTTGTGGTACCTTTACTTGTATCACAGATCTTATTGCAATCATTTTGTACTAGAGGATAATCCCTAAGCAGTTGCTCAAGCTTTGTTCAACATCAGGGATTTTATATTGGAGAAAAGTCCTGCAAATGTAATGAATTTGGAGAGACATTTTTTTTTTTACAAAAACTACAGCTTGTAAAACACCAGAGAGTTTATACTAAAGTATATTTTTGCCGTTGCAGTAAATAAGAAAAAATGCTTAATTCAAAATTGATTCTATGTAAATATCAGAGAATTTACACTAGAATAACTAAGGCACTGACACTTCAGACATTACACTTAGAGTGTTGAGTATAAAAACTAATCCACGACTAAAGTTGTTAGATAAATTATTTGTATGTAACTATAAAAGGAGTAGATTTTTTGAAGCATTGTAATTACATTGAAAGTATACTTGTTTCCTTGAAAAAAATTTTTTGAAAAGTGAATAATGATGTAATACAGCTTTCAAATTACTTTGTGCTGTTATTTTATTCCTATCGTATTCACGTGTGAAAGCATGTGATCAATTGTTGCTGCATCGAGATATTAGAGATTCTTTTTTATTAATTGGGCATATTTATGACCTTTTCTATAAAAGAGTAAGGACATTAAAATGAAAGATGCCTGATGAAAATATAAGTGGAGAGGTTCTTTGTAGTTAACCTATATTAAGTAATGCATATGGTAGATGTTCAGAGTAATACTTTTCTATATTATAGTGAGAGAAATTATTAATTATAGTTAAAAGTATATTAAAATAAATTAGTAATTTTACTGGTTGTACTTTTATGTAATAAAATGCAGTACATTTAAAAATTGTTAGATTATGTGTGAACTTATTTTTTTTACCATGTTAAGACTACTGTGCATTGAATGAAGCATTATTATGCAACTAAATTTAGCCTATCCCACATTACTTAAGGGTGTAGGTAAAAGATGGTAGCAATATACTATTTGGTGCATAGTGGAATAACATCTCTAGTAATCACTTTGCCAGTGGCTTTAAACTGCAAATGAGTTGAAGAATACTGTTCTTATAGGTTAAATTTTTACTCTTTTTTCTTACTGAAATTTATTATTAGTATTTGTGTGTATACAGTATGTGTATATATTTATGCCTTATATGGCATATTTGTATTCAAGCATACAATACGTAGTAATTACACTAGGGTAAATAGAGCATCCATCATCTCTAGCATTTATTCTTTCTATTACAAACAGTGTAATTATACACTTTATTATTTATTGTAAAATGTACAATTAAATTCTTATGGACTACAGGGTTATTTTTATGGTTATAATAAAAATTATACAGAAATATAAATAGAATACAGCCAGGAGCAGGGGTTCATGCCTGTAATCCCAGAACATTAAGAGGCCAAGACAGGTGGATTGCCTAAGGTCAGGATTTCAAGACCAGGCTGGCCATCATGGTGAAAACCCATCTCTATTAAAAATATAAAAATATAAAAATTAGCAGCGCATGCCTGGAGGTTGAGGCAGGAGAATCGCTTGAACCCAGGAGATGGAGGTTGCAATGAGCTGAGATTGCACCACTGCACTCCAGCCTCAGTGACAGAAGAGACTCCATCTCAAAAAATAAATAAATAAAATAAACAGAAATAGAAATAAAATTCATACATTTCTGAGTCCTGAAAAATTATTAATAAATATTTGTTATATAGTTTTCTTTGAACATGTGGTCTCTCTGCATGCAATCATATAGACTTTTAATTTACATAGAGTTAAGTATACACATATTACTCTGAAGATAAACCTTAGATGTAAGAAAATTATAAAGTGAGTGTGTTTGTGTATGAGTTTGTACATATTTTTAGAAGAAAAGTGCAATTATTGGAACAAAACAAATTAATTAGGTGACTAATAGAAAACTAAACACCATGAAAATGCTGAAAGCAAATCTATACTTTCTGCTTTGTCTTGAATTTATTAATGTAAAATTTTATGACTTATGGTTCGGATTCTCCCCAGAATCTGCCTATTAAAGCACAGGCAACTTTCTCTCCAGAGATAACACTCTTGAGTACAACAATAAAAGCCCTCTTCAAACAGAAAACAATTATTTCTAACATTTATTTTAATGTAAATTTCACTAAAATTGACTAAGTGGATAGATTTTTATTGTTCTATGTGTGTGTGAATGTATAAAATAGTACATAAAGGAAAAATAAGCCAGAAAGAAGATGTTAGTTAATATTTGTGATGAATAAAACTGGAAAGGAGTTAATTATTATTTGCAGATGACAGCTTTGTTTATGTAGATAACAAAAACAGCAGAAAGAATATTTTAAAAGCTTATTCAGTTGGGTAGGCAACATTCTAAGATAATACCCTGGATTCCCAGTCTGTTGCACACCTGCTGTGTAATACTTTCCTCTTGAGTGTAAAAAGATGTGTGACTGTGGTGGGAAATTACTCATGAAATTAGGTTACTCATGTGTTGACTTTGTGTTATCAAAATGGAGATTATCCTGATTGTGCTAATCTTAATCATAGGTGCTTTTAAGGGAAAGAGACACATCACAGAAAATCACCCCTGCTGGCTTTAAAGTCAGTGACTTCTAGGTGGGCCATGTTGTAAGCTGCTTATGGTGGTCACATGGCAGGAAACATGTTTGTATATTGTCATCATTCCTGCCTCCTGGATGTTGCTTCCAGTAGGGAGAATAAGAGGATCCTATGGCAGAGGGGGAAGAAAAGGGAAATTCATTCATGCAAGAAATAATCACCTCTCATCTGGGATAGCTTAAGAGAAAGAGGAGACCACAACAGGACCAAATTAATGGGAGGAAAAAGGTAACCTGGGTAAAAGTGCTCTCTGGCATTATGGAACTACATTTAGTAAGCTGTAGTGAATGATCAGCCTCTGGGATACCAATAGTCTACCAACAAGGCTGAACTCATTCTAATTCAATCAGCATGTCTGCACCATTCTGGTGACCCAGGTTTACAGTATTCATTACAGAAATACCATGAAGACCAGTGGGTAATGTCCTAGAATTGAACTTATTTCAAAAAGCATTCCTAATTATTTGTTTTCACTTTTGAAAAACCTTAAAAACAATACATTTATAAATAATTAACTTCTAATTATAGAGGATTCTACTATACTGTAATATAATATTAAACTGTAAACACCTTAACATGAATATTGAATGCATGATTAGTTATGTAGATGGTTTGTTTTAGATTAACATGACAAAAGTAACAATTAGAGAAAACATTTGACATGGGATAAAATTAATCAAAACCACATCTTTTCAATGGCTTGGCATAATTTCCATGCTTTTGGAAATGGCCAGATAATTAGCAAGAAACAAAGACAAGATTTTGGCTTTGCTCAATGATGGTTTTTGACCTTTTGAAATCTAAAATCCTTGCTAAAGTATTCAAAGGGAGTATTTTATTGGTGGCTGCCCAGGGTTTCCAAGGCAATGAAGGAAGAATTTTGATAGGCAGGAAAATGCACACTATATACACACATTGCTCTTCTCTGATTTGCTTTAACACTGAAAAATTGAAGTTGTAAATGTAGTCTCAATTTAGAGTAAATTAACAAATGACTTGTTTTTCAAAAAAGCCAATGTATAAAATTAATGGGTAACAGAAGCCATTAGCTGCTAAAAACTAGTATGACTAAATTCAGTAAGTATCTAGCCATGCAAATAACAGTCCAATTAAATGAAGACCCTCATAGGTGCATATGGAAAGCATTGCTGTGCAGTGTGGTGCCTCCACTCAGCATTTTCTTCTGCCTCTTCACAGAGAAACCAGTTTCCCCTGAGTGACTCAGGGTGCATACTGGGAACTGAGAATGCTGTGTTCAGAGTGATTACTGAAAACATGGTTAACACACTTCTTCCATATGATAATAAAATGTTATAAATCTTACTCTGCCTCAGAAAAGCTTTTAGTAAATGATTATAGTACTCAATTTGGGTTTATGGAGAATTTCAATGTTCCAGATAATTCAGACACTTAAATGTCAATGAAATCCCATAAAACATATTTGAATAAGATAAAGTCTTCTTAGCTAACAAATTTGTATTACTAGTACATTTATAAAAAAATAGAAAACCAGTACTTTAAGCCAAATAACAGTATTTGACACGTTAGTAGCACCCAAACAAGTGCTCTTCACGATCATTGTTAAAGCAGCAATAGCACCACGTGCTTTCCTGGGACCTGCTGGCCTGTTTTCCACTGATATAAAGTGGAGAAGGCATTGAAATAGCAAAGGAGGGTGATATAAATTGAATACTTATATGAAATACAATTTTAAATAAAACATAGCACTTGATGTTGTACAACTATAGGCGAGACTATTAGTGTGAGGTCATATTTTTACTTATATTGACAAAATAATCATTCACAATATTCTTATTTAGAATAATATTCCTGTTCTGCTGTATATTTGCTAGCTTTTGATCAAATATTTGGGAGCTCAATAGAAATCAACAAAATGAATCTTTATTTTACCACAAGCATTATTGATGCATATGCTTGTTTTTATTAAAATCCATTAATGTTTTATGAAAGATTATACTTTTGCTGGGTGCGGTGGCTCACACTTGTAATCCCAGCACTTTGTGATGTAAAATCACACCCTTGTCTTTTTTGTCTTTGTGGCTGAAGTCGGGTATTTATGGTAATGCAAAAGAAGTCTAGGTCTCTTTTTAGAAGAAAGATGGTGATGATGGAAGCAAATATAATGGTGCATGGTACTTGGCCACATTTCAAATGGGTGATAATGAACATTCACCTAAGTGCCACAGGTGGCTTTTATTTACCACATCAAATCTTCTTTGTGAGGAAGGCTCAGCCCACTAATGTCAAGCATTTTTGGTGGTTCCTAGATAGATGAACAAAACCTCACTGGGCTGTTTTAATGAGACCAGAATTAAAAACACCCAGGTGCCAGGTTATTAAGAACATTTTTACACTTGTGGAAAAAAATGTGATGTGGCGTGTGGCTTGGTTTGAATAAATCTTCACTGAGGTAAGTAGCTGATTGAATTTACCTAACTGTAGGTTAAGAAATGAAAATAACCTCTGACCAAGTTTATTTTACAGGCTTATTTCTGTACATATAAAATAGATGGCTAGATAAACATATACACATAAAATGAGTCACATGGATATGTCTACGTAATGTTTATTTGTGCATAGATCTCACAAACAAAAAGGCTCAGAAATAAAGCAGATCAGATGACATCTCCGTATTCTACCCCTGAAGCCGAGGTAAATTAAATAAGCAAATTAGCAGAACCCAGGTGGTTGTAATCAGCCAATTTGCACAGCCCAGGTGATTCCAACCAGCAAATTAGCTCAGATGAGGTGGATCCAATCATCCAATTATCTAAATAGAGACTGTGGCTTTATCAAGGCAGGCCCCAAATGGTGGATGTGAACAGAACATGCACACACTGAGGAGACATGCAGGGCACTGAAATACTAACCTGGACAGATAAGTTACATGGTTTTATTTTCAGCTTATTTCTGTAGACTTGCCCTTGAAGTTAAAGCTTTGTTGATATTTACATAAACAACATTGTATGGCTACGTTCCATTCTGACATGTTACTTAGCAAAAGAAAAAAGAAGTAATTCTACATCAGCATGTTTAGTGCATGCCAGAAGATTAAAAATGTCTTTTGGGGAATGTATTTTGTATACATAAGTATTTACATATAAATATTTATATAATTATGTGTTTGTCTTCCTATGTATATTTATATCTAGATATGTCAATCTTCGTATTGATATGCATTGCTACAAATAGTAAGATAAAGAGTAACTTCCAGCCGGGTGCGGTGGCTCGTGCCTGTAATTCCAGCACACTGGGAGGCCAAGGTGGGTGGATCACCTCAGCTCACGAGTTCGAGACCAACCTGGCCAACATGGTGAAACCCTGTCTCTATTAAAAATACAAAAATTAGCCGGGCGGGGTGGTGAGTGCCTGTAATCTCAGCTACTTGGGAGGCTGAGGTCAGAGAATCATTTGAATCTTGGAGGCAGAGGTTGCATTGATCCACGATTGTGCCACTGCACTCCAGCCTGGCAGACAGAGCAAGACTCTGAAAAACAAAAACAAAACAAAAACAAAAGTAACTTCCATATATGTATAAGTTTATCTGCCCTATAAACAATATCACAAATATTACACAAATAAAAATATGCTCTAACATACATCGTGCCTCATTTAACATATATGAAAGCAGCAGCTTTTTTTTTGTTTGTTTCTTGCTTCTGGGAGATAAAAATGCACTAAGGTGATGGAAGTCATTCATTGCCATATCAATGTTTACCCTTCTCTTTCTGTTGCACACAGGGCAAAAGCTGAACCAGCCTCAGTCTAAAGTTTCTCACCAAAATTTGAGAATGTTTATTCTTTTTCATTAAGACTTTCATCAAGACAGGGGCTCTTGTTTATTTCCATGAGTGTGCAATGTGAAAGTACACTGTTGTCCTTTTGCCTTTGTGGCTAAAATAGGGACTTTATGGTAATGGACAGAAAGCCTAGGTTTCTTTTTTTTTTCTTTGTTTTTTTTTTTTTTTGAGATGGAGTTTTGCTTATGTTGCCCAGGCTGCAGTGCAATGGCGCGATTTCAGCTCACTGCAACCTCCGCCTCCCAGGTTCAAGTGATTCTCCTGCCTCAGCCTCCCAAGTAGCTGGGATTGCAGGCGTGCACCATCACACCCGGATACTTTTGTATTTTTAGTAGAGACGGGGTTTCACCATGGTGGTCAGGCTGATCTCTAACTCTCGAACTCAGGTGATCTGCCTGCTTCAGCCTCTCAAAGTGCTGGGATTACAGGCATGAGCCACCATGCCCCACCAAAAGCCTAGGTTTCTTATTAGTAGACTGTCATACTGAAAGCAAATATAATGGTACGTTACTTGGCTGCATTTCAAACAAGTGATAGTGACACTACACTGAAGCACCAAAGGTGGTTCTTATTGGTCAGGCCAGAGCTCCTTGTGAAAAAGGTTAGGGCCACTGGCATGTCTGAAGGTTCCTAGCTGGATGGACAGAACCCCATGGGCTATTTTGAATAGACACTGAATTTAAAACACCTTGGTGGCCAGTAATGAGGATATTTTCACATTTAGCAAAACGTGATTTGATGTGTGGCTTGGAGTTGATAAATCTTCACTGAGGTAATGGCTGATTGGATTTACCCGGCCTGAATGGAAAATAAAATAAAAATCACCTCTGACCTATTCTTCTTTGTGGTCTTTTTTATGCACACAGATATATATATATATAGATAGATATAAGATAGGTGGCTAGATAAACATATACACAGAAAATGGGTAACACAGGTATGTCAGTGTAATTTCCATTATTGCATATGTCCTGCAGAGAAGCCTGAGAATAAGTAGGTCAGACGCCATTTTTCTTCCCAACTTCTTCACACCACGTGAATTTAATGAGCCACTTAGATCAGCGTAGATGGATATAAGTCAATTAGCTAAATTGGGAAAGTGAAGGCATCCAGGCAGGACCCAAATGGCAAATATGAATCACATTGGCATACGGTGAGAAAGGAAGCAGGGCCCTGAAATGCTAAGCTGGAACTAGAGTCTTATATGGCTTTACCAAAAACATACTTCCCGGGTCATGCACCTAAAAGTGAAGGTTTGTTCATGTTTAAACATAACATTGTATGGCTGTGGTCCAATCTGAGATGGTATGGATCCGTATAGGTGAGAGTAAGTTTATATCTGCATCCTCAATGTAGGCTGGGGAACTTAAAATGTTTGTTAAGGCCGGGCGCGGTGGCTCACACCTGTAATCCCAGCACTTTGGGAGGCCGACGTGGGCGGATCACGAGGTCAGGAGATCGAGACCATCCTGGCTAACACAGTGAAACCCCGTCTGTACTAAAAATACAAAAAAATTAGCCGGGCGTAGTGGCGGGAGCCTGTAGTGCCAGCTACTCGGGAGGCTGAGGCAGGAGAATGGCGTGAACCTGGGAGGCGGAGCTTGCAGTGAGCCGAGATCACACCACTGCCCTCCAGGGTGGGCGACACAGGGAGACTCCATCTAAAAAAAAAAAAAGTTTGTTTATTAATATCTTTTGTACAAATAAATATCTACGTAGGCAAACCCACATAATTCTATATGTGTGTGTTTATCTGTCTACCCATGTATGTCTATATACAGATCTAGCTATCATTTTTTCCATATGAATACAGAGTAAAGATATAGGAGGTAAAAGGATAAATAGGTATTTGTACTTATAGCAATGTAAAGAAAAACTTCAATGACTGCAAAATCTTATTTGCCCCTTAAATTTTATCCATAAGAGTACACAAATGGAGGTATACTCTGACCTGCATCTTGCTGCATTTGATGTTTTCAAAGAAAGAATTGGTTTTTGTTGCTCACAATCTGTTAGCAAAAGTGCACTAAGGCCATCGAGTCATTTATTGCCAAGTCAAACATGGCCTTTTTAATTCTGGTGAATGGGAAAATATGGATAAACTAGCCTTAGCTTGAAAGCCTTAATCCAAATTTGCAAATGAGAAATAATTCTCTTTAAAGCTTCCCTCAATTTTAGAGCTTTTATTTTCAAATATGTGACATAGAAATAGAATCTTCTTCTCTTTCTTTCTTTCTTTTCTTTTTTTTTTGAGACAGAGTCTCACTCTGTCACCCAGGCTGGAGTGCAGTGGCACGATCTCAGCTCACTGTAACCTCCGCCTTCCAGGCTCAAGCAGTTCTTCTGCCTCAGCCTCCTGGGTAGCTGAGTTTAAAACCACATACGCCACCGCGCCTGGCTAATTCTTGTATTTTTAGCAGAGATGGGGTTTCACCATGTTGGTCAGGCTGGTCTCCAATTTCTGACCTTGTGATCTGCCCACTTCAGCCTCCCAAAGTGCTAGGATTACAGGCATGAGATACTGTTTCCGGCTTTTTTTTTTTTTTTTTTTTTTTTTTTTTTGCAGAGTTTCACTCTTGTTGCGGAGGCTGGAGTGCAATGGCAACATCTTGACTCACTAAAACCTCTACCTCCCAGGTTCAAGTGATTCTCGTGCCTCAGCCTCCCGAGTAGCTGGGATTACAGGCACCCAACAACACACCTGGCTAAATTTGTATTTTTAGTAGAGACGGGGTTTCTCCATGTGGGTCAGCCTGGTCTTCAACTCCTGACCTCAGGTGATCTGCCTGCCTCAGCCTCCCAAACTGCTGGGATTACAGATGTGAGCCACAGTGCCTGGCAGAAATAGAATCTTATCATATTGTTGTGTTTGCTCAAGTAGTAACATTTTGGGTAAGAAAATTAAACAAGAGGTCTCTGACTTTAAGATGGACTGCTATACTGAAAGCAAATTTCAGGGTGTTTTCAGATGCTTTTTTCTTTGGATTTAGATACAGATATAACATATGTAGCTAGAGAAATATATACAGCCAGGTGCAGTGGCTCATGCCTGTAATTCCAGCACTTTGGGAGGCCAAGGCAGGTCCTTCACTTGAAGCCAGGAGTTCAAGACCAGCCAAGCCAACATAGCGACACCCCATCTCTACTAAAAATACAAAAATTAGCTGGGCATGGTGAGACCAGCTGAGCCAACATGGCAAAATCCCGTCTCCACTAAAAATACAAAACTTAGTTGAGCATGGTAGTACACACCTGCAATCCCAGATACTAGGTAGGCTGAGGCATGAGAATTGCTTCAACATGGGAGGTGGAAGTTTCAGTGAACCATGATCACACCACTTCACTCCGGCTTGGGTGACAAAATGAGACTCTGTCTCAAAAAGAAAAAAAAAAAAAATACAAAGACCCAGGGTCATAGAAACATATAGAGACATACATATGTAACCTGAATTTGTGACTATGTTTTATAACATCTCACAAATGTAAAGTAAGTCAGAGGTTATGTCCGTACTCATGCTCCTCAAGATAGATGAATGCGATTCCATGAGGCAAATTTAATAAGCCAATGAGCTCAAGTCAGCTGTTTTCAATCAGCCAATTAGCTGAGCCCAGGCGATTCCTATTAGCCAATTAGCTCAGCGCAAGTGATTCCATTAGGCCAATTATGTCAGCTTAGGCAATTACAATCAGTAAATTTGCTCAGCCCAGGTGATTACATTTCGCCAATTGACTCAATCCAGGTGATTCCAATCAGTAATTCGCTCAGCCTAGGTGACTTTAAACAGCCAATTAGCTCAGCCTTAACAATTTCAATCAGTCAATGAGATCAGCCCAGGTGACTCTAATTGGCCAATTAACTCAGCCTCAGTGATCCTAATCAGAAAGCTCAGCTCATGTAATTTTATTTTACTTTTTTGACGGAGTCTCTCACTCTGTCGTCCAGGCTGGAATGCAATGGCATGATCTCGGCTCACTGCAACCTCCACCTCCCGGGTTCAAGGGATTCCCCTGCCTCAGCCTCCCAAGTAGCTGGGATTACAGGCATGTGCCACCACACCCAGCTAATTTTGTATTTTTAGTAGAGACAAGGTTTCTCCATGTTGTGCAGGCTGGTCTTGCACTCCCGAGCTCAGGTGATCCACCTGCCTCGGCCTCCCAAGGTGCTGGGATTACAGGCATGAGCCACCGCACCTGGCTAGCTCATGTGATTTTAATCGGGAAATTAGCTAGAGAAATTCTAGAGAATCCAATCAGCCAGTTAGTTAGAACTGTGATTCCAATGAGTCAATTAGTTCAGTTCAGAAGTATCTAATTAACCAATTAGCTCAGGTTAGTTGATTTCAATAAGACAAATAGTTCTGCACAGGTGGATCAAATCAGCCAATAATCTAAATAGTGACTGTAGATTCATTAGATCAGAATGGCAGATTTAAACAGCATTTTTCTACACTGAGAAGAAAAGCAGGGCCCAAAGACTCTAATCTGGTCATAAAGCATTACATTGCTGTATTGTCAGCTTGTTTCCAAGACCTTGCCTTTGACAGTGAAGCTTTGTTTATGTAAACATCATTGTATGTCTGTGTTCCATTATGGATTTCTATTGTGCCATAAAGTAGACTAGTAAGTCCACATCTGCATTCTTAGTATATACTAAGGTATTAAAAATGTCATTTGCTGAAATCTTGTATATTAATAAACATTTATGTAATTATAATTATATAATTCTGTACGTGTGTGTTTATCTACCTACATCCAGATGTATCCAGGTTTGTACCTATATTCACAAAAAATAAAGATGTAGAAGGTGAAAGTGTTGATCGTAATTGATATCAATAGTAATATACAAAGATAATTCCATAGAGGTATAAAATTTTCTGCCGTATGAAATATACCTAGAATGCTACTCAAATGGATGTATGCTATTACCTAAATCTATCATCATTTAACTTATACAAAGTAAGCATAGTTTTTTTTTTTTAATGGAGTCTTGCTCTGTCACCAGGCTGGAGTGCAGTGGTGCTATGATCTTGGTTCACTGCAATCTCCGCCTCCTGGGTTCCAGTGATTCAACTGCCTCAGCCTCCTGAGTAGCTGCGACTACAGGTGCCTGCCAACAGGTCTGGCTAATTTTTGTATTTTTACTTAGAGGCAAGGTTTCACCATGTTGGTCAATCTGGTCTCAAACTCCTGACCTCTGGTGATCAGCCCACTTCAGCCTTCCAAAGTACTGGGATTACAGGCGTGAGCCACCGCGCCTGGCCAGACACTTTCTTCTGTAGATTTGGAAACAGATATAAGACACATATGGCTGGGCATGGTGGCTCACACCTGTAATCCCAGCACTTTGGGAGGCCGAGGCAGGCAGATCATTTGAGATAGGGAATTCAAGACCAGCCTGGCCAACATGGAGAAACCTTGTCTCTACTAAAAGTACAAAAAAATTAGGTGGGCATTGTGGCACATGCCTGTAATCCTGGTTACTCAGGAGGCTGAGGCAGGAGAATCACTTGAACCCAGGAGGCAGAGGTTGCAGTGAGCTGAGATCATGCCATTGCACTCCAGCCTGGGCAGCAAGAATGAAACTCTATTTTAAAAAAAAAAAAGACATGTATATAGGAAAACATAAACAAACACAAAGGCTTATATACATATGTCTAATTAATGCCTATTTGTGAGTATGTCTTGACAAAAAGCCCCAAAAGAAAAGTATGTAAAAGGTTATTACCTTACTCATTCTCCTCAAGACACAATCAATGAACTCAGCCCATGTGACCCTAGTCAGCCAGTTAGCTCAGCCCAGGTGATTACAATCAGCCAATTAAACGAGCCCATGTGATACCAATTAGTCAATTATATCATAAAGGTTAATACAATTAGCCAATTAGATTAGCCCAAGGTGATTCCAATCAGCCAATTAAATGAGCCCAGGTGATACCAATTAGCCAATTATATCAGTATTGGTGTGTTGGTGTGATCAGACCCAACACCGGGTTGTGGGGGTGACAAAGTCCAGTGGAGTCAAAGGATTGAGAAAAAGTTTGAGAGAGAAAAGTGGGACCAGGGGGCCATTGCTAGTGTATGGAGGCTGCGAAGGCCCCGAGCTCTGGGATGCCATGCTATTTATTGGTAATCCAACAAAGAAACAGATGGTGAGAATGTGGGGTCGAAAGGGCAAGTGCATGATCTACAGCTGTGATGGTTTAGCATATGCTCTGCTACTTGAGATAATGGAGAGCAGGTTCTTTTAACTCAAGATACAGTCAATCCTGGAAGAGCAAGGAGCAAGGAGCCAGCAAGTCTAGACACATTCCAGGGCCACGAGCCCTGGATTCTATTCAAGCCATGAGGGATTTTATGCCCTGGGCTTAGATTATGGTGCTTCAGTGTAGCCTTCCACCCTTTAGCACAGAGCTTGGTGTTCCAAAGGCCACAGAAGTTTTTATACCCTGGACCCCAGACATGTTCCAAGACTCTTTTACATTATGTCAGACATGCAAGCCCTGCCTCAGCTTCTCTCCCAACACTCAGCTTTTCTCCCAACATGCCCCCCTTTTCTTTTTCATAAAACCGCCACAGCTATCATTGCTTGTTCTTGAAGTCAGCTTTCTCTCAGAGGTGGCTTCATCTTCAGAGGCAGCTTTCGCATCTGCAGACTAAAAGAAGACAGCACAAGCACACAACCACCAGAACAAAATCCACAAATGTAGAGCCTCCAATGGCCTTCAACTATAAATCTTTTAGAATGGGATAATAGTTTTTTAAGGGTCTCAGTTACAATATAAATAGATGGTGATGTCTCCATGGTCTATTTAGAGGTACAGGGATCCAAACTCCTTCTCTGGCTTTAATTATCAAGATAGTTTGATTTTTATCAAAGGTTGAATTAATGTAGGTAAACAAGTGACATTCGGGGCAAGTAATAAGGCATATATTTATATCAAGAGTAACATTTCCTATTGCTAGCACAACTTTGAATCCAAAAGGTCCTGTTGGAGAGAAAAGAAAGAGCATTTTTATCCTTACCTTCCTCCCCTCTATTCCTTGTATATTTGCCCTCTCAGATTTTGCTTGGACTTTGAGCCATAGCTAATTTCCATAATTCAGAATGTTCCTGTCTGTCCCTGCAAATCTCTGCTAGTCTTTGCTAGCCTCAACTTTTGTACCTCTTTAGGGCACTGACCTTATATTGCTAGTCTTTGCTTTTGTACCTCTTTAGGGCACTGATCTTATATTGCTAGTCTTCATCTATCTCTATTTATCTCTATCTCTCTATTTATCTCTGTTTATCTCTATCTCTCTATTTATCTCTATCTCTCTATCTCTATCTCTACTTATCTCTAGCTCTACTTACTTAGCTCTACTTACTTAGCTCTTATTCAAAATGGAGTTGCTCTGGTTTGAATTCTTCCCACATATCTCCCTTTTCCCTTTTACAAGAGGACCCTTAATCCTAGGGGTTGCAGAAGGATGAAGGTCCATCTTCTGTAACTTCTTCATGCTGAATAGGAGTGACGATAATCCTGCCTAACTATTAGGGACTCTTGTATTCAGGGTAGAGAGGAGCTCAGTCAGAAAGCATTGGTCCGTTAAGCATCCATAGGTAAAACCCTGGCATTCCAGTAGTTTCTCAGCTTCCTGTGCTGTTTTCTTGCTCTGTCCCATGTTATAGGGGTTGCATCCACATGGTTTCATTCATCTCCTGCAAAAACACAAGCGTACCCTCGATCCCACATTAGTAAACCTAGCGAAACAGAAGCAAAAAGTTTTGTGGTTGTAACTGGGAGGCATGCCATTGCTGAAGCATTTGTTAACTCAGCTTCTGCCTCTTTGGTTAATTACAGTGAGGTAAAACTTTCCACTGATAATGAGAAACAGGCCCCTTCTAACAGAAGGCACAGAGAAAGCAAATCAAGGCTTCTCAAACCTTCAATTTGCACTGTACCGGTGGGCCCACTAGATGCTGTGGCTCATGATAGATCTTCAGATATTTGGTGGGTACCCCATTGTTGCAATAAGTCTCTACCCCATAAATTGACTGGAAGAGGTGTAATAATATGCTGAATTGTCCCTTCCTGACCAGGTGTCCCTTGACATGGTAAAATCAAGGAACTCTGAAAAACTTCCTAGGCTGTTCCTATGCCAATGATACCCATGGAAGCCTTTAGTTTGGGCCAGTGCTGGGGCCATTGATATAAAGCAATAATAGAGACACCAGCTCCAGTATCCACTAGTCCTTCAAAATCCTTTCCCTGAATAGTTACTGTGCAAATAGGTCTTTTGTCAAACACTTGAATAACCCAATATACAGCCTTTCTTGCTGAATTAGTACTACCAAAGCCTCCTGTTCTTTTCACTGTGCTGCTTCCTGGTTTTATGTAAGGTAAGAGCCACAACTGAGCAATTCTTTCTCCTGGGGAAGCAGACCACGGAGTTGAGGAACTAATAACTAATTGAATTTCTCCACTATAATCACAATCAATTATTCCTGTATGCACAGCGACACCTTTCAAATTTAGACTAGACCTTCCAAGTAATAGATGAACTGTTCCTGAGGGTAAGGGTCCCCTAACTCCCATAGGGACCTTCTTTGGTTGCTCCCCTGGAAGTAAGGAGACTGGAATTGTGCTGCAGAGGTCTACGGCAGCACTGCCTGCTGTGCAAGGAAACAATTGTTGTACATTTGTAAGGGCACTGGCTGTGTCATATATGCCTCAGTTTGTTGAGGTGCTCTCTGAATAAACAAGCCTCAGATTCCACTGGGTCTTACCGCATGCCTCACCCTCTTCATAATAAATTCCTTAAGAAATTCAAGTAAGCAGAATGTTTGCTTTCACTTTGTGCCATTGTTATCCTGGTTCTTCCGAGCATTCCGCTTTCCTACCGAGCTTCTTTTAGTTGTCCTTGGGTGTCCTTTGAGGATGCGTCATCCACTTTCACACACTGTAGGGTTTCTTCACCGGGGTCTCTGTTGCCCCACATTGGGCAGCCAGGAATGTTGGGGTAATCAGACCCAACACCAGGTCGTGGGGGTGACAAGGTCCAGTGGAGTCAAAGGATTGAGAAAAAGACAGTTTGAGAGAGAAAGATGGGACCAGGGGCCATCGCTAGTGTATGGAAGCTGTGAAGGCCCAGAGCTCTGGGAGCCCACACTATTTATTGGTGATCAAACAAAGAAACAGGTGGTGAGAATGTGGGGTTCGAAAGGGCAAGTGCATGATCTACAGCTGTGATGGTTTAGCATATGCTCTGCTACTTGAGATAATGGAAAGGAGATTCTTTTAACTCAAGATACAATCAATCTTGGGAGAGCAAGGAGCCAGGAGCCAGCATGTCTAGACACATTCCAGAGCCATTAGCCCTCTGGATTCTATCCAAGCCACGAGGGATTTTATGCCCTGGGCTTAGATTATGGTGTGTCAGGGTAGCCTTCCATCCTTTAGCACAGAGCTTGGTGTTCCAAAGACCACAAGGGGTTTTAGACCCTGGACCATGGACATGTTCCAAGACTTTTTACATTATGTCAGACATGCAAGCCCTGCCTCAGCTTCTCTCCCAACACCCAGCTTTTCTCCCAAGAATGGTGAATCTAATTAGCCAATTAGATTAACACAAGGTAATTCCATTCAGCCAATTTTCTTAGTCTAGTTAGATCCAATGAGCCAATTATCTAAATAGTGACTACAGGTTTATCAAAACAGGCCCAAACTAGTGGATGTGAAAAGCACATACAAACATTGAGAAGGAATGCAGGGTCCTGAAGTGCAAACCTGAACTGCATGAGTAACCTGACTTAGTGTCAGCTTATTTCTGAGGCCTATGCTACTGAAGATTAAGGATTTTTTATGTTTATAATATTGTATGTCTATGTTCAATTCTGAAATGCTACTGAGCAAAAGAGATTGAAAGTAATTATATATCTGTAATTATATATCAATTCTGAAATGCTACTGAGCAAAAGAGATTGAAAGTAATTATATATATGTATATAAGTTCTAGATCCATGAGGATCTAGAACTAGAAATATGATTTGACCCAGCCATCCCATTACTGGGTATATACCAAAAGGATTATAAATCATGCTACTATAAAGACACATGCACATGTATGTTTATTGTGGCACTATTCAAAATAGCAAATACTTAGAACCGTCCCAAATGTCCATCAATAATAGGCTGGATAAAGAAGATGTGGTACATATACGCCATGGAATACTGTGCAGCCATAAAAAAGCATGAGTTCATGTCCTTTGCAGGGATATGGATGAAGCTGGAAACCATCATTCTCAGCAAACTATCACAAGGATTGAAAACCAAACACCATATGTTCTCACTCATAAGGGGAGTTAATCAATGAGAACACATGGAACAGGGAGGGAAACATCACTCACTGGTGCCTGTTGGGAGGTGGGGGGTTGGGGGAGGGATAGCATTAGGAGAAATACATAATGTAAATGATGAATTGATGAGTGCAGCAAACCAACCTGGCACATGTATGCCTATGTAACAAACCTGCACATTGGGCACATGTACCCTAGAACTTAAAGTATAATAATAAAAAAAGATTTTAAAAATCATATTCTTAAAGAGTGTAAGCTAAAAGGCAGCTAGTTGATTCTACAAAGGTCAGAAAATTGACTTGTGTGTAAGAAGCCTCACTGATACAAGCTATGAGATTTGGGATCACTGCTTGAATTCATGGAGTCTATCAAAATATCATTATTCCTTTCCACTTTGTAGAATCATGAGTCCTAAGGGTAAATAATATACAGAAATAAAGTAAAATCAGAAGCTTCAAACACTTAACATCTTCAAACTAATAGTACCTATAGTGTCAACCAGAGAATATAAGGGCAACCAGCAGGTGGTGGAAATATCAGCAAACAAAAGAAGGTTGGTGTAAACCAGCTGGCCAGAGTTCTGTGGAAAGAGAATAGTTGCCAAGAGCAAGAGAAATTAAGTCTATCATTTTTCCTACCTGGAAACCACCAAATAGAAATGCCTGTTATACTGGAAGTAACTTGTAAAACAGAAGGTTGTTGAAGAGGTGGGGATGTCATTAAAACATTTTAAAAGCCCATAAAAATCTTAGGAAAATTTCTTACTCTTCAAGAAAGCTTTAAGAGTACATCCAGCATGGGCCACATGTATCTAAGATTACTCAGATCCAGCTGGTTTCTCTTTGACACTTTATGGCAAACTAAAATCTATCTTCCAAAAAAACAGTGAAGCATTGACCTTAGATATTTAATTGTCTATTGAGATGACAACTCAATGACCTTGTCTAGTTTGGAAAATACAAAGAAATAGCCATTTAGGTAACCGTATATGAGCCAGAATTTGGTGGAATCTAATCTTATATATGGCCCTAACTCTGACCATTAATGAGATGTTGGGTTCCATTAGTTCATTTTATTTAAAAATTGGAAAACATATTAATTCTTGCAATAGTCTCATCCCTATGCAAGCAGGTGTCTCTTTGCTTATGAAGATAATTAGACCATAGGTTTGATGGCACTTTGACTTTAAAAAAAAGACTTACTAGGTTGTTTTTTTTTTTTTTCCAAAAAAAGGAGAGACAGTCCTGATTAGGTCTCTGTTGCCAAATCCTAAAGATTCTAGGCCCTATAAAGTGAGACATTAAAAGGATTATGCATCATAATAAGGCCATTCTGGGTAAAGTCATTTCTATTCATCTCCATTACTTTGAGAGTAATCTGTCAAAGACAAATTAACTGCCAGAGGAAACTTATGAAAAAATATTTGTTCTCAAAAGCTGTAACGTATTTATTTTACCTTCAGTCTCCACTTGCCAAAACCATAAATTGCAGAATATCTCCATTAAAGCTCATGCCAAATTCCAAGTCTCTCCTCTGGCTGTCATTTGCGAGATGGCTCCTCTTCAGGTTCCTGTTAGCTATGTGCAAAGACAGCCTAGGCAATGACAAATCAAGAGATAAATAATTTCTGAGATTTCCTGAGTTGATTCTTTCGATCCCAGCACTGCTTTTCATTAGAATTTCTAAGTCCCTCTTCCTATAACAGAACTACCAGCCCCAATGTGCTTGGGAGCAACTTATTTGCTCTGGAAATTAGCACAATATGAAGACTCAAGGCTGAGACCTACAAAACTTGGGTTCAAGTTAAGTTGTTTTTTGTTTGTTTTGTTTGTTTTTATCAAATGGGAGTATGACTTTGAGTTTATCACCTCACATCCTACTTGGAGGATCCAAAGCATTTTTCTTTGAGCGTACTCTTGAGATATCATAAATACAATCCCATTGTTAGGAGAGGTCCCAGAGCCCAATTCCAACCCACTTGTCCTTGAACCTTCTCTAAAACAACCTGAAAAAGAATGGTCTTGGAGCTTATGCCTGAAAGCTTCCATGCCAGAGAACTCACCCCCACCCACTGCCACCACCAGAAAACCAGTCCAGCTGCCCTGTTTGTTTGGTTTGATTCAGTTGTGAAGCAGCTTTGTAGAGAGTGAAGAGCAAGATACTAGAAGGTACACAAACTTCAGTGTTATGGAAAATTGATTGTATTTCTATCCTATGACTAATTATTTGTCCTCACTTTTGTTTACAAAATAGAAGGCTATTATAACCTTGTGTCTTACAAGTTTGGTGATAATTACAAACAGGCTAAGCATTCAGTAAAACATCATTTTTCTCCTATTTGCTCTAACTGAAGACAGGATTACTTTGAATGACCAGAACAGTCGTATGCTTGCAATAGCTAATTTACAATAACTCTAGAGTTCTTGAAGTTTGCCCTAGGGCATTAAAGATGCCAACTATGGCCTATGAGAAATATCAAAGCATGAGACAAGGCCATTCAATAAGAAGAGGTCAGAAATTTCTCAACTGCTGCAAAATTTTTTAGCAATAAACTCATTTCTGGTAAGTCTTTTACATCACCCACTCCTACCTTTACATACAAATGTGAATTATTACCTAATTTTTGTATCAGTGAAAGAATTTGAGGATAGCCTGAAATGATATTGTGGGTTTTGGAGCTTACAAATCTTGGAGAAAACTTATCTCAGAGTCAAACATGGCCTGGTGATTACCTAATTCCCAGGTAGGCCTGTAAAGTCTCTCTGCGATCCTGCTGGCAAATGCTCCCTGTCTTCATTACACAAGACCAGCCACGGAAACAAATGGGTATCAGTTATTTTAACTCCAACTCTTAGAAAGTGCTTGTATTTAAGTTTTTGATCAAATGTATCTATTCATATGTTTTGGAAAATTAAATCGAATAGAGAGATTAAAATGAAAAATAAACTTCCTGCCCCATGCCTAACAGTCTCTAACCTCTTTTCGTACAGGCTAACTGTGTTTGGCCTTTTCTGCATTGCTACAGAGAAATATCTGAGGCTGGATAATTTATAAAGAAAAGAGGTTTAATTGACTCCTGGTTCTGCAGCCTGCACAAGAAATGTGGTGCCAGCATCTGCTCAGCTTCTGGTGAGGCCTCAGGGAGCTTTACTCGGCAGAAGGTGAAACACCTCCCACCAGGCCTCACCGCCAACACTGGGGATTACATTTCAACATGAGATTTGGAAGGGACAAATATCCAAACTATATCAGTAACACTATTTAACTCTTAAAACTATTTCTAGGCTGGGCATGGTGGCTCGTTCCTGTAATCCCGGCACTTTGGAAGGCAGGTCACTTGAGGTCAGGAGTTTGAGACCAGCCTGGTCAACATGGTGAAACCCCACCTCTACAAAAAATTTGAAAATTAGCTGGGTGTGATGGTGCATGCCTGTAATTGCAGCTACTCAGGAGGCTGAGGTGAGAGAAAGGCTTGAGCCTGGGGGGCAGAAGTTGTAGTAAGCCAAGATTATGCCAAGGCACTCCAGCCTGGGGGATAGAGCAAGATTCTGTCCCCACTCCCACACACAAAAAAAAGATTTCTAAACTTATATTTCTGATTATCATCCACCTTTAATCTGTTATTGCACTATATTCCTTGATTAATTTGAAATAGCATTTACTGACGCGCTATTCTGACAAAAGATTTAACTTCCTTATATCATCCCAAGCCTTCCCTTAATACTCCTGCCAGTATGATTCTTTGCCTACTTTTTTTGTTTTTCTATTAATTACTTTTGTAACTTTAAATAAATGTTCACCATTATATTTCTTTTTACAGCAACTATAGGAAATACCTCTTCTCTAGTTGAGATAAAGTTTATTCTCTAATTTACTAATGTTTCAAAGATCACCTGACCTTATTTGCAGAGATAATATTTTTTAAATCTCAACCTTGCAAACTGTCAGGGTTGATAATATTTGCATTCCTTTCCAAGATGATACCTGTCTTCTGTCCTTTATCTATGGTTTATTATGAAAGCAGGAAGTGAATCATGTTTTGTTTGTTATTCCTCTTCCAAGTACTATTTGCTGCAGAACCAAGCCCTTGTTTAGGATTAATTTTGTGGGTTTTGTATAGCTATTTGGATTTTTCTGGAGTTTCTAATTCTCTTCTTACTTCTTCATATTGTCTTTAATATGTTTTTAAGTAGTTCTATCTTCCTAGGGATCATATGAAATCTATGAAACACCATTTTTTACAAAATGTCTCCTTGTTGGAGCCTCTGTTTTCTTCCTTCTGTCTGGAGTGCTGCTTCCAGGCCTGCTCCAAAGCTGCATCCTGGCACTCCTCCTTCTCTCGGTCACCCTGGATCCACCTTTCTTTGGATCCCATGTCTTCCACATTCTTAGCCTCCTCATTTTGCTTAAGAAAATCATCCAGTAACATCCTAAGAAAGTTTGAGGAGAAACTTCTTAGTTTCTGTAAATATTTTTTTATTCTCTATTCATCCAGATTGAGTGTTTGGCTTGGTATTTTTCTCTTTTTTTGGTTTTGCAATGCATTTTTCTCTTTTTTATAATACTTTAAGTTCTAGGGTACTTAAGTTCTAGGTTTGTTACATAGGTATACATGGGCCATGTTGGTTTGCTGCACCCATCAACTCGTCATTTACATTAGGTATTTCTCCTAATGCTATCCCTCCCCCAGCCCCCAACCCCCTGACAGGCTCCAGTGTTTGATGTTCCCCACCCTGTGTCCATGTGTTCTCATAGTTCAACTCCCACCTATGAGTGAGAACATGCGGTGTGTGGTTTTCTGTCCTTGTGATTGTTTGCTTAGAGTGATGGTTTACAGCTTTATCCATGTCACTGCAAAGGACATGAACTCATTCTTTTTTATGGCTGCGTAGTATTCCATGGTGTGTATGTGCCACATTTTCTTTATCCAGTCTATTATTGATGGACATTTGGGTTGGTTCCAAGTCTTTGGTATATTGCATAGTGCCAAAATAAACATGCGTGTGCTGTGTCTTTATAGTAGCATGATTTATAATCCTTTGGGTATATACCCAGTAATGGGATTGCTGAGTTAAATGGTGTGGCTAGTCTTAAATCCTTGAGGAATCACTACACTGTCTTCCAGAGTGGTTGAACTAATTTACACTCCCACCTACAGTGTAAAAGCATTCTTATTTCTCCCCATCCTCTCCAATATCTGTTGTTTCTTGACTTTTTAATTATCACCATTCTAACTGGCATGAGATGGTATCTCATTGTGGTTTTGATTTGCATTTCTGTAATGACCAGTGATGATGAGCATTTTTTCATATATCTGTTGGCTGCGTAAATGTCTTCTTTTGAGAAGCATCTGTTCATATCCTTTGCCCACTTTTTGATGAGGTTGTTTGTTTTTTTCTTGTAAATTTGTTTAAGTTCTTTGTAGATTCGGGATATTAGCCGTTTGTCAGATGGGTAGATTGCAAAATTTTTCTCCCATTCTGTAGGTTGCCTGTTCACTCTGATGATAGTTTCTTTCACTGTGCAGAAGCTCTTTAGTTTACTTAGATCCCATTTGTCTATTATTGCTTTTGTTGCCATTGCTTTTGGTGTTTTATTTACGAAGCCTTTGCCCATGCCTATGTCCTGAATGGTATTGCCTAGGTTTTCTTCTAGAGTTTTTACAGTGTTAGCTCTTACATTTAAGTCTTTATTCCATCTTCAGTTAATTTTTGTGTAAGGTGTAAGGAAGGGATCCAGTTTCAGCTTTCTACATATGGCTAGCCAGTTTTCCCAGCACCATTTATTAAATAGGGAATCCTTTCCCCATTGCTTGTTTTTGTCAGGTTCATAAAGATCAGGTGGTTGTAGATGTGTGGTGCTATTTCTGAGGTCTCTGTTCTGTTCCATTGGTCTATATTTCTGTTTTAGTACCAGTACCATGTCATCTTGATTACTGTAGCTTTATAGTATAGTTTGAAGTCAGGTAGTGTGATGTCTCCAGCTTTGTTCTTTTTGCTTAGGATTGTCTTGGCTATGCGAGCTCTTTTTTGGTTCCATATGAAATTTAATGTAGTTTTTCCAATTCTGTGAAGAAAGTCATTGGTAGCTTGATGGGGATAGCATTGAATCTATAAATTACCTTAGGCAGTATGGCCATTTTCACGATATTGATTCTTCCTATCCATGAGCATGGAATGATCTTCCATTTGTTTGTGTCCTCTGTTATTTCATTGAGCAGCAGTTTGTAGTTCTCCTTGAAGAGGTTCTTCACATCCTTTGAAAGCTGGAGTCCTAGGTATTTTATTCTCTTTGTAGTAATTGTGAATGGGAGTTCACTCATGATTTGGCTCTCTGTTTGTCTGTTTTTGGTGTATAGGAATGCTTGTGATTTTTGCACATTGATTTTGTATCCTGAGACTGCTGAAGTTGCATATCAGCTTCAGCAGGTTTTAGCCTGAGATGATGGGGTTTTCTAAATATACAGTGTCATCTGCAAACAGAGACAATTTGACCTCCTCTTTTCCTAATTGAATACCTTTTATTTCTTTCTCTTGCCAATTGCCCTGGCCAGGACTTCCAATACTATGTTGAATAGGAGTGGAGAGCGAAATAATCATTGTCTTTTGCCTGTTTTCAAAGGGAATGCTTCCAGTTTTTGCCCATTCAGTATGATATGACAAACTGTAGGTTTGTCATAAATAGTTCTTATTATTTTGAGATATGTTCCATCAATACCTAGTTTATTGAGAGTTTTTAGCTTGAAGCATTGTTGAATATTTTTGAAGGACTTTTCTGCATCTACTGAGATAATCATGTGGTTTTTTTTCATTGGTTCTGTTAATGTGATGGATTACCTTTATTGATTTACATATGTTGAACCAGCCTTGCATCCCAGAGATGAAGCCAACTTGATTGTGGTGGATAAGCTTTTTGATGTGCTGCTGGATTAGGTTTGCCAGTATTTTACTGAGGATTTTCACATCGATGTTCATCAGGGATATTGACCTAAAATTCTCTTTTTTTGTTGTGTCTCTGTCAGGCTTTTGTATCAGGATGATGCTCACATCATAAAATGAGTTAGGGAAGATTCCCTCTTCTTCTATTGATGGAAATAGTTTCAGAAGAAATGGTACCAGCTCCTCTTTGTGCTTCTGGAAGAATTCAGCTGTGAATCTGTCTGGTCCTGGACTTTTTTGGTGGGTAGGCTATTAATTATTGCCTCAATTTCAGAACCTGTTATTGGTCTATTCAGAGATCCAACTCTTTCCTAGTTTAGACTTGGGAGAATGTAAATGTCCAGGAATTTATCCATTTCTTCTAAATTTTGTAGTTTATTTGTGTAGAGGTGTTTATAGCATTCTCTGATGACAGTTTGAATTTCTATGGGATCAGTGGTGATATCCCTTTTATCATTTTTTATTTCATCTATTTGGTTCTTCTCTCTTTTCTTCTTTATTAGTCTAGCTAGTGGTCTTATTTTGCTGATCATTTCAAAAAACCACCTCCAGGATTCATCGATTTTTTAAAGGTTTTTTTTTTGTCTCTATCTCCTTCATTTCTGCTCTGATCTTAGTTATTTCTTGTCTTCTGCTAGCTTTTGAATTTGTTTGCTCTTGCTTCTCTATTCTTTTAATTGTGATGTTAGGGTATCGATTTTAGATCTTTCCTGCTTTGTTTTGTGGGCATTTAATGCCATAAATTTCTCTCTACACACTGCTTTAAATGTGTCCCAGAGATTCTGATACATTGTGTCTTTGTTCTCACTGATTTCAAAGAACACTTTATTTCTGCCTTCATTTAGTTATTTACCCAGTAGTCATTCAGGAGCAAGTTGTTCAGTTTCCATGTAGTTGTGTGGTTTTGAGTGAATTTCTTAATCCTGAGTTCTAATTTGATTGCACTGTGGTCTGAGAGACAGTTTGTTGTGATTTCTGTTCTTTTACATTTGCTGAGGAGTGTTTTACTTCCAATTACGTGGTCAATTTTAGAATAAATGCAATGCGGTGCTGAGAAGAATGTATATTCTCTTGATTTGGGGTGGAGAGTTCTGTAGATGTCTATGAGGTCTGCTTGGCCCAGAGCTGAGTTCAAGTCCTGGATATCCTTGTTAATTTTCTGTCTCATTGACCTGTCTAATATTGACAGTGGGATGATAAAGTCTCCCATTATTATTGTGTGGGAGTCTAAGTCTCTTTGTAGGTCTCTAAGGACTTGTTTTATGAATCTGGGTGCTCCTGTATTGGGTGCATATATATTTAGGATAGTTAGCTCTTCTTGTTGAATTGATCTCTTTACCATTATGTAATGGCCTTCTTTGTCTCTTTTGATCTTTGTTGGTTCAAAGTCTGTTTTATCAGAGACCAGGATTGCAACCCCTGCTTTTTTTTTTTGCTTTCCATTTGCTTGGTAGATCTTCCTCCATCCCTTTATTTTGAGCCTATGTGTGTCTTTGCACATGAGATGCATCTCCTGAATACAGCACACCAATGGGTCTTTACTCTTTATCCAATTTGCCAGTCTGTGTCTTTTAATTGGGGCATTTGACCCCAATATATTTAACTTTCTTCATGAAAAGCAAATTTTTGCTTTTTTTACACACTCTTTATGCAGAATTGTTTTTCTTAGATCTAGTAGTTTTTATTATATATATTAATTACATTAACTCTTAAAAACCTAATTTTTAGTGAAATCCCTAGGAAGTAATTTTGGAGTGTTTGGCATCAGTATTTGTAGACAAAAACCATTTTATATTTTTAATAGAAGTTTTTTTCCAAATTCTCTGTTAATTAGCAGATCTAAATATGATTAGCTTTTCTATATCATATAAAAATAAGATTCTGGTCAGGCATGGTGGCTCATGCTTGTAATCCCAGCATTTTGAAAGGCCAAGACACAAAGATTGCTTAAGCCCAGGAATTCGAGGCAAGCCTGGGCAACATGGAAAAACCCCATGTCTACAAAAAATACAAAAATTAGCTCAGCATGGTTACCTACACCGGTAGTACCAGCTACCCAGGAGGCTGAGGTAGGAGAATTGCCTGAGCCCAGGAGATTGAGAGTGCAGTGAGCCATGATAAAGGCACTTCACTCCATCCTCAATGACAGAGACTCTTTTTTAAAAAATTAAATGCCAAAGCAGATAAAGTAGAACTTATTGGACTTTGGGGGCTGGGGCTTGTTTTTATTATTATCTCAACAGCTTTGTGGCTACAGGTGGTGTTTGATTACATAAAAGTTTTTCAGTGGTGATTTCTGAGATTTTAGTGCACCCATATCCCAAGCAGTGTACACTGTACCAAATGTGTAGTCTTTTATCCCTTTCTCCCATCTCTTTCTTTTCCCCAAGCCTCTGGAGTTCATTGTATAATTCTTATTCTTTCCTTTTTTTTTTGAGACAGTGTTTCGCTCTTGTTGCCCAGGCTGGAGTGCAATGGTACAATCTCAGCTCACTGCAACCTCTGCCTCCTGGGTTCAAGTGATTCTCTTGCCTCAGCCTCCCATGTAGCTGGGATTACAGGCATGCGCCACCACACCCAGCTAATTTTGTATTTTTAGTAGAGACAAGGTTTCTCCATTTTGGTCAGGCTGGTCTTGAACTCCTGACCTCAGGTGTTCCACCCACCTCGGCCTCCCAAAGTGCTGGGATTACAGTTGTGAGCCCCAGCACTTGGCTAGCTCATGTGCTTTTAATCAGGAAATTAGCTATGTTCTAGAGAATCCAAGCAGCCAGTTAGTTGAAACTGTGACTCCAATCATTCAATTAGCTCAGTTCAGAAGTATCTAATTAACCAATTAGCTCAGGTTAGTTGATTCCAATAAGGCAAATAGTTCTGTACAGGTGGATCAAATCAGACAACAATCTAAATAGTGACTATAGATTCATTAAGTCAAAATGGTGGAAGTAAATAGCACTTTTCTACACTGAGAAAAAAAGCAGAGCCCAGACATGCTAATCTGGTCATAAAGGATTACATTGCTGTATTATCAGCTTATTTCCAAGACCTTGCCTTTGAATGTGTATCTTTGTTTATGTATCTGTAAACATCATTGTATGGTTATGTTCCATTTTGGATTTCTATTGTGCCATAAAGTATACTAGTAAGTCCACATCTGAATTCTTAGTATATACTAAGGTATTAAAAATGTCATTTGCTGAGCATCTTCTATATTAATAGACATTTACATAAGTGTACTTATATAACTCTGTATGTGTGTATTTATCTGTCTAACTATATGCAGATGTATCCAGGTTTGTATCTATATTCACAAAAAATAATGATGTAGAAGGTGAAACTGTTGATTGTTGATATCATTAGTAATATACAAAGATAATTCCATAGAGGTATAAAATTTTCTGCTCTATGAAATATACCTAGAATACTCCTCAAATGGATGTATGCTCTTACCTAAATCCATTGGCATTTAACTTATACAAAGTAACCATTGGTTTTTTGTTTTGTTTTGTCTTTGTTTTTTTGAGTCAGACTCTCACTCTGTCACCAGGCTGGAGTGCAGTGGTGCAATTATCTCGGCTCACTGCAACCTCCACCTCCCAGGTTCAAGCAATTCTCCTGCCTCAGCCTCCCAGGTAGCTGGGACTACAGGTGCCTGCCACTGTGCCTGGCTAATTTTTGTATTTTTAGTAGAGATGGGGTTTCACCATGTGGGTCAGGGTGGTCTCAAACTCCTGACCTGAAGTGATCAACCCACATCGGCCTTCCAAAGTGCTGGGATTACAGGCATGAGCCACCGCATCCAGCCGGACACTTTCTTCTGTAGATTTAGAAACAGATATAAGACATGTATATAGGAAAACAGATACAAACACAAAAGCTTATATCATATGTCTAATTAATGTCTATTTGTGAGTATGTCTTGAAAAAAAGCCCCCCAAAAGAAAAATATGTAAGAGGTCATTACCTTACTCATTCTCCTCAAGACGCAGTCAATGAACTCAGCCCATGTGATTCTACTCAGCCAGTTAGCTCAGCCCAGGTGATTCCAATCAGCCAATTAAAGGAGCCCAAGTGATACCAATTAGTCAATTATATCAGTACAGGTGAATCCAATTAGCCAATTAGGTTAGCCCAATGAAATTCCAATCAGCCAATTAAATGAGCCCAAGTGATACCAGTTAGCCAATTATATCTGTAAAGGTGAATCTAATTAGCCAATTAGATTAGCCCAAGGTGATTCCATTCATCCAATTTTCTTAGCCTAGTTAGATGCAATCAGCCAATTATCTGAATAGTGACTGCAGGTTTATCAAAGCAGGCCCAAGCTACTGGATGTGAAAAGCACATACCTACATTGAGAAGGAATGCAGGGCCCTGAAGTGCCAAACTTAACAGCCTGTATAACGTGACTTTGCTGTCAGCTTATTTCTGAGGCCTATGCTACTGAAGGTGAATTTTTTTTATGTTTATACAAACAATATTATATGGCTATGTTTGGTTCTAAAATGCTACTGAGCAAAAGAGATTGAAAGTAAGTATATGTCTGTATAATTAGTATATGCCAAGTGATTGAAAATGGTCTATTGGGGAACATTTCTTGTATACATAAATATTTACATAAATATACTCATATAATCCTTTATGTAAGTTTTAAAAATCTATTTACCTGCCCAGGAATGGTGACTCATGCCTGTAATCCCAGCACTTTGCGAGGCTGAGGTGCATGCATCATGAGGTCAGGAGTTCGAGACCAGCCTGGCCAATATGGTGAAACTCTGTCTCTACTAAAAATACAAAAATTAGCCTGGTGTGGTGGCACTTGCCTGTAGTCCCAGCTACTCCAGAAGCTGAGGTAGGAGAGTCACTTGAACCCGGGAGGCAGAGGTTGCAGTGAGCCAAGATTCTGCCACTGCACTCTAGCCTGGGTGACACAGCAAGACTCTGTCCCCATCTCCAACAAAGTAACTTCTATACATGTATAAATCTATTTGCCCTGTAAACTAGATCTAGAAGAGTACACGAATAGAAGAATGTTGTGGCATACATCCTGCTGCATTTAACATATACGAAGGAAGCACTGGTCTTTTTTGCTCACTCCTGGAAAATGAACATGCACTAACCAATGGGAGTCATTCACTGCCATGTCAAGGTTGACCCTTCCCTTCATGTTGCACATATGGCCAGAGGTGAACCAGCCCCAGTCCTAAGGTTCTCACCTAAATTGTGAAATGCTTATTTTTTCTCATCTGGGCTTTCTTTAAGACATGGGATCAACTTCATTTTTATGAGTATGTAACGTAAAAGTACAATTTGGTCTCTTCATCTCTGTGGCTGAAGTAGTGTCATTATGGTAACGGATAGAGTCTAGCACTCTTTCTGGAAGATAGACCATCATACTGAAAGCAAATGTAATTAATTGTTCATGGTACCAGAACACATTTCAACCAGACCATAGTGAACATTCACAGAAGTGCCAATTGTGGCCCTTATTGGCCAGGCCAAAACTTCTTTCTGAGTAAGGATAGTCTTACTGATGTCAAGCATTCCTGCTTTTTTTTTTTTTTTTTTTTTAACTGGACAGAAACCCACTAGGCTGATTTATTGAGATTCACAAATAAAAAGACCTGGGTGCCAGGTAACAAGGACATTTTCACATTTATGAAAAAAAAAGTGTGGCTTTTGGCTTGGATTTTATAAATCTTCACTGAGCTAACCATCTGATTGGATTTATGTAGCCTGGAAGTAAAGAAAATAGAAATTACCTTTTACCAAGTTTACTTCAGTGCCTTTTTTCTGTAAATGTAAATATGGATATAAGATAGGTTGATAGACAAACATACACACAAAGAATGAGTCACATATGTATGTATAGGTCAAGTTTATTTGTGCATATGTCCCATATAGGACAGAGGTCATCTTCATTTCTACCCCTGCATCCCAGATAAGTTAAATAAGCAAATTACCTCAGCCTGTGTGATTGCAAAAAGCCAATTAGGTCAGATCAGGTAAATATAACCAACTGATTAGCTAAACTGGAAAAGTGTAGACATCAAGGCAGGCTCAAAATGATGGTTGTGAATAACACAGGCATACCCTGAGAAGAAAAGTAAGGATCTAAAATGCTAAGCCAGACATAAAGCCTTACGTCACACTACGAATGTATTACTTCACAGGCCATGCTCATAAACATGAAGTTTCTTCATGTTTATACATAACACTTTATGGCTGTGTTCCAATCTGAGATGGTATAAAGGCATATAGGTGAAAAGTAAGTCTTCATCTGTGTCCTCAGGTTAGGCTGGAAAATTAGAAATGTCTATTGATGAACATCTTTTGTATGCATAAATATTTACATATACAAACTAATATAATCCTGTATGTGTGTGTTTATGTACTTACATATATCTATAGCCAGGTCTATCTATAATTCTGTTAACATTCATACAGAATAAAGATATAGCAAGGCAAAGTATAAGTGAGCAGTGGTTCATGCCTGTAATCCCAGCACTTTGGGAGGCCAAGGCGGGCAGATAATGAAGTCAAAAGATCAAGACCAACCTGGTCAACATGGCGAAATTCCGTCTCTACTAAAAACACAAAAATCAGCTGGGTATGGTGGCGCATGCGTGTAGTCTTAGCTACTCGGGAGGCTGAGGCAGGAGAATCACTTGAACCTGGAAGGTGGAGGTTGCAGTGAGCCCAGATTGCACCACTACACTCCAGCCTGGTGACAGAGTGAGACTCCTTCTCAAAAAAGAAAAAGAAATAAAGGGCATCCAAATTGGCAAAGAGGAAGTCAAACTGTCACTGCTTGTCAATGATATAATTGTATACCTAGAAAACCCTAAAGACTCATTCAAAAAGCTCCTAGATTTGAGAAATAAATTTACTAAAGTTTCAGGATACAAAATGAATGTACACAAATCAATATTGCAGGTATACACCAACAGTGACCAAGCTGAGAATAAAGGCAAGAACTCAACCACTTTACATCAGCTGCAGAAAAAATATACTTAGGAATATACTTAACCAAAGAGGTGAAAGACCTCTACAAGGACTACTACAAAACACTCCTGAAAGAAATCAAAGATGATACAAACGAGTGGAAATACATCCCATATTCATGGATGAGTAGAGTCAATATTGTGAAAATGATCATAGTGCCAGAAGCAATCTACAAATTCATGCCATTCTTGTCAAAATACCACCATCATTCCTCACAGAACTAGAAAACACAATCCTAAAATTCATATAGAAAAATAAAAAAGCCTGCATAGCCAAAACAAGACTAAGCAAAAAGAACAAATCTTGAGACATCACATTATCTGACGTCAAAGTATACTAGGAGACTATTGTTACCAAAGCAGCATGGTACTGGTATAAACATAGGCAAATAGACCAATGGAACAGAATAGTGAATAAAGAAATAAAGCCAAATACTTTCAGCCAACTGATCTTCTACAAACTAAACAAAAACATGAAGTAGGGAAAAGACATCCTATTCAACAAATGCTGCTGAGATAATTAGCAAGCCACATCTAGAAGAATAAAACTGGATCTTCATTGCTCACTTTATGCAAAAATCAACCCAAGATGGATCAAAGACTTAAATGGAAAACTTGAAACTACAAAAGTTCTACAAGAAAACATTGGGAAAAACTCTTCTACACATTGGCTTAGGCAGAGATTTCATGACCAAAAACCCAAAAACAAATACAACAAAAACAAAGATCAATAAATGTGACTTAATTAAACTAAAAAGCTTCTGCTCAGCAAAATAATAATAATGATAATCAGAAGAGTAAACAAACAACACACAAAGTGGGAGAAAATATTCACAAACTATGCATCTGACAAAAAACTGACAAAGTTTCTACAAGAAACTCAAACAAATGAGCAAAAAACCCCACAAACTATCCTATAAAAAAGTGGGCTTAGCACATGAGTAAACAATTCTCAAAAGAAGATATACAAATGGTTAAAAAACATTTTAAAAAGTGCTCAACATCACTAATGATCTGAGAACTAAAAATCAAACCACAATGTGATATCACCTTACTCCTGCAAGAATGGCCATAATCAAAAAAATCAAAAAATGACAGATGTTGGTATTGATGTAGTTCAAAGGGTACACTTTTACACTGCTGATGGGAATATAAACTAGTACAAGTACTATCAAAAACAGTCTGGAGATTTCTAAATGAATTAAAAGTAGAACTTCCATTTGATCCAGCAATCCCACTACTGGGTATCTACACAGAGAAAAATAAGTCATTGTTTGAAAAAGACACTTGCACATGCATGTTTATAGCAGCAGAATTTGCAATTGAAAAATTGCAAATGTTGGGAAGCAGGCTAAATGCCCATCAACCAATGAGTGGACAAAGAAAATGTGGTGTATATATACCATAGAATACTACTCAGCCACAAAAAGGAACAAAATAATGGCATTCACAGCAACCTTGGTGGAGTTGGAGATTATTATTGTAAGTGAAGTAACTCAGGAATAGAAAATTGAACACCATATATTCTCATTTATATGTGGGAGCTAAGCTATAAGGATGTAAAGGCTTAAGAATTATATAATGGGGAGGGTGCGGTGGCTCACGCCTGTAATCCCAGCACTTTGGGAGGCCAAGGCGGGTGGATCACCTGAGGTTGAGAGTTCGAGACTGGCCTGACCAACATGGAGAAACCCCGTCTCTACTGAAAATACAAAATTAGCCAGGCGTGGTGGCACATGCCTGTAATCCCAGCTGCTTGGGAGGCTGAGACAAGATAGCGCTTGAACCTGGAAGGCAGAGGTTGCAGTGAGGCAAGATCGTGCCATTGCACTCCAGCCTGGGCAACAAGAGTGAAACTCAAAAAAAAAAAAAAGAAGAAGAAGAAGAAGAAGAATTATATAATGGACTCTAGAGGCTTGGGGGAAAGAACAGGAAGGGGGAAAGGGATAAAAGACTACACATTGGGTACTGTGTACACTGCTTGGGCTATAGGTGCACTAAAATCTCAGAAATCACCACTAAAAAACTTTTTCATGTAATCAAACACCACCCATAGCCACAAAGCTGTTGAGATAATAATAAAAACAACCCCCCGCCCCCAAAGTCCCATAAAATTAATTTTATATGCTTTGGCATTTAATTTTTTAAAAAAGAGTCTCTGTCATCAAGGAAGGAGTGAAGTGGCTTGATCATGGCTCACTGCAGTCTCGGCCTCCTGGGCTCAGGCAATTCTACCTCAGCCTCCTGGTTAACTGGTACTACAGGTGCAGGTAATGATGCCGAGCTAATTTTGTATTTTTTGTAGACATGGGGTTTTGCCATGTTGCCCAGGCTTGCTTCCAATTCCTGGGCTTAAGCAGTCTTTGTGCCTTGGCCTTTCAAAATGCTGGGATCACAAACGTGAGCCATCGTGCCTGACCAGAATCTTATTTTTATATGATATAGAAAAGCTAAACATATTTAGATCTGCTAGTTAACAGAGAATTTGAAAAAACGTCTCCTATTAAAAATGTAAAATGGTTTTTGTCTACAAATACTGATACCAAACAGTTCTAAATTACTTCCTAAAGATTTCACAAAAAAAATTAGGTTTTTAAGAGTTAATGTAATTAATATATATAATTAAAACTACCGGATCTAAGAAAAATACTTCCACATAGTGAGCAAACATAAGAAAAATATACTTTCAATGAAGAAAGCCAAAAATATTTTGTCTAGTTTGAAATTACTTAAATTGTCTCAAATTGAAAAAATAAAAAGAATGTAGATAAAAATAAAATACAGAAACTTTTAAAAGTAATTTAAAAAAGGTCGGGTGTGGTGGCTCATGCCTGTAAACCCAGCATTTCGGGAGGCCGAGGCAGGTGGATCACCTGACGTTGGGAGTTGGAGACCAGCCTGACCAACATGGAGAAACCGAATCTCTACTAAAAATACAAAATTAGCCGGACATGGTGGCGCTTGCCTGTAATCCCAGCTACTTGGAAGGCTGAGGCAGGAGAATATCTTGAACCCGGGAGGCAGAGGTTGCAGTGAGCCGAGATTGCACCATTGCATTCCAGCCTGGGCAATAAAAGTGAAACTCCAAATAAAAAAAAAAGTAATTAAAAAAAGTATAAGCTATGTATGGAAATCTAGAGTGGTCAAAATGATATATTTGATGGATTTATTTATAAAGTTTTATGAAAATTAGCTTTTAATTTTTTTAAAATTTTAAAATTTTAATTTTTATTTTTTGAGATGGAGTCTTGCTGTGTCACCCAGGTTGGAGTGCAGTGGTGCAATCTTGGCCCATTGCAACTTCCACTTCCTGGGTTCAAGTGATTCCCCTGCTTGAGCCTCCCAAGTAGCTGGGACTACAGGCACCTGCCACCATGCCAGGCTAATTTTTGTAATTTAGTAGGGACGGGGTTTCACATGTTAGCCAGGCTGGTCTCAAACTCCTTACCTCAGGTGATCTGCCTGCCTCGACCTCCCAAAGTGTTGGGATTACAGGCGTGAGCCACTGCGCCTGGTCAAAATTAGCTTTAGTATTGATAGCACACTAATACAAAAGTATAAGTTGATTTTCTCTTGAACAAAAATTTTGTGTATTATTACTATAACACAATAACCTATTTTTATTCACCTTTTGAATTAATTTAAAAAGAGGGAGAGTAGAGATGGGTTTTTCTCATGCTGTCTTTCTTGGGTCATTTGACTGGAAAACTGAATTTCCTGCATCGAACAGTAAAAGGTTTTGTTTTTATAAGTCTTCTAATAGGCCAGGCACTGTGACTCATGCCTGTAATCTCAGTACTTTGGGAGGCTGAGGCAGGCGGATCACCTGAGGTCAGGAGTTCGAGACCAGCCTGGCCAATATGCCAAAAGCCCGTCTCTACTAAAATACAAAAATTAGCCAGGCAAGGTGGTGACCGCCTGTAGTCTCAGCTACTTGGGAGGCTGAGGCAGGAGAGTTGCTTGAACCCAGGAGGCAGAGGTTGCAGTGAGCCAAGATCACACCACTGCACTCCAGCCTGGGTGGCAGAGTGAGACTCTATCTCAATAAATAAATAAATACATAAATAAAAATAATAAATAAATCTTTTAATTATTGCTTTGGCTAAATGAATGATTATTATTTAATAGTGGACTGTGATCCCATTTTGTTCAAGTATTTTAACCCTTTGACATATTTGGCAGGCTTCCCAAAATTAAAATTCAGCTTAAAAGTTGTGTGTATTTGACCCCTAATATTTGAATGCTACATAAGTCCAATGCAGCATTTGAAAGAGTGATAAACAGAATTCTTTGATATGTTAAATTACATGGAAAGCATTGTCAAATTAAAAATTTGACCTTTATCAACATATTTTAATAAATGTTATGATATTCATTTCAAAATTATATGAAATCTCTAAAAATCCAATGTATCTGAGTATATGCTACTAGTAATAATTATGGTTTTTATGATAAATTATTATAGACTACAGGTATAATCATTTTTTCATTTATTTCTTCATAACCATTTTAAGTCATTTTCACAGTTAATGGTTTAATTCTGATGTAGTTTCTAAAAACTTCAAAAGCACATAACATCCTAGAGGACTGTGTCTTTAAAGAGTTGTACGAAAAGATGGAAAGGGTCCACACAAGTTAAGTACAGGCTTCTGATAATTTTAGGATCATATTATATTTGGACTGGCTAAGGATTGTGAGAATTTGAATGAAGAGACAGACTCCTAAAAAACTTTGAGCCCAGGCTGGGGTGTGGTGGCTCATGCCTATAACCCCAGCACTTTGGGAGGCCAGGGCAGACAGATCCCCTGAGGTCGGGAGTTCAAGACCAGCCTGACCAACATGGAGAAACCTCGTATGTATTAAAAATTCAAAATTAACAAGGTGTGGTGGCGCATGCCTGTAATCTCAGCTACTTGAGACTGAGGCAGGAGAATCACTTGAACCTGGGAGGCAGAGGTTGCAGTGAGCAAAACTCGTGCCATTTCCAGCCCAGGCAATAAGAGAGAAACTCCATCTCAAAACAAAACAAAACAAAACAAAACAAAATGAAAACAAAAACAAACAAACAAAAACACCTGTAAGCCTACACAAGACAAAAATTAATTGACTATTACAAAAATACTGTGCCACATTTTTAAAGTTATATCAGGCAGTATGGAAATGTTTTAGATATACTTTGTAAATCAACTCTGTGGTCCAAGTCAAATGACCTATGATAACCTCTCAGGTATCAGTGCTGCGCACCTAAATTTGGGAAAGTAACCTAGTGTTTAAAAAGACATAAACTTAATGTTCAGTGTGGACTCATGGAGAACCTAGGCAGCCACTTGATATTTCCTGAGTTCTTTTTTTAAAAATTAATTAATTAATTATTATTATTATTATTTGAGATGGAGTTTTGCTGTTGTCACCCAGGCTGAAGTACAATGGCATGATCTTGGCTCACTGCAACCTCCACTTCCCAGGTTCAAGCGATTCCCCTGCCTCAGCCTCCCAAGTAGCTGGGATGACAGGTGGTCACCCCCACGCCTGACTATTTTTTGTAATTTTAGTAGAAATTGGGTTTCACCATGTTGGCCAGGCTGGTCTCAAACTCCTGACCTCGTGATCAACCCCCTTCAGCCTCCCAAACTGCTGGAATTACAGGCGTGAGCCACCACATTCGGACCCTATTCCTGAGTTCTTGAAGTTTCCATTATTTAAAGCTACGCATTTCACTACTAATCACAGAAAAGATAAAGTAATGTACATTAAATATAAATTGAATGTGTGTTTGTGTGTGTATGTCTGTGTGTGTGTGTGTGTGTGTGATGACTGTTCTAAATTACTACACTAGGTTAAGACCAATTCCTTTTTCAAACTTATAATTCTTAGAAGAATATTAAAAGTTTATGTATGTTTCTGCTACCTCATGTGTGATTTAAACATTTATACAGAAACTGTCTTTTATTTTTTTGAGACAGAGTCTCACTCTGTCACCCAGGCTGGAGTGCCGTGGCACGATCTCAGCTTACTACAACCTTGGCCTCCTGGGTTCAAGCGAATCTTCTGCCTCAGTCTCCCTAGTAGCTGGGACTACAGGCACACACCACCATGCCCAGCTAATTTTTGTATTTTTAGTAGAGACAGGGTTTCACCATATTGGCTAAGGTGGTCTTGAACTCCTGACCTCGTGATCTGCCCGCCTTGGCCTCCCAAAGTGCTGGGATTACAGGCATGAGCCACTTCGTCCGGCTTTTTTTTTTTTTTTTTTTTGACTGAGTGTCACTCTTGTTGCCCAGGCTGGAGTGCAATGGCACCATCTTGGCTCGCTGCAACCTCTGCCTTCTGAATTCAAGCAATTCTCCTGCCGCAGCCTCCCGAGTAGCTAGGATTACAGGCACCCACCACTACTCCCAGGTAATTTTTGTGTTTTTAGTAGAGATGGGGTTTTACCATGTTAGTCAGTCTGGTCTTGAACTCCTGCCCTCAGATGATCCTCACGCCTCAGCCTCCCAAAGTACTGGGATTACAGATGTGAGCACCAGACAGAAAATTGCATGCCTGGCAATTGTCATTTTTAATGCATGTTTTCTGGTAGTATAAAAGCTTTCTGATGCAAGAAGGTTGTTATTATAGCGGTAGCTAAAAGGATACTAAGACTTTCTTTTCCTCATGAAGACTTGCTGAAAAGGTCTCCAATTACAAAGATACTTATTTCACTAGAAAAGTTGTAAAACTGTTAAATAAGATATTACAGATACAATAGTACTGAGCAAAGCTAACTAAATTCACTAGATTGTTTTTGTAATTGCAATTGATGACACTCAGATCCACTTAGAGTGGAAAAAACGTGTTGACTTTTATAAAGAGTCATTGGAAGACCTATGCACCTAATAATAGAACGTCATGTATAATCTGCTACTGAAGTCTAATATTACTAAATGTGGCAAGGCTCTAATGCATTATGGCAAAGCATATTTTCACAAGGTAAAGAAAGCTTTTTTTTTTTTTTTGATGGTCTCACTGTCACCCAGGGTTCAGTTTTGTGATCTCAGCTAACTGCAACCTCTGCCTCCTGGGTTCAAGTGATTCTCATGCCTCAGCCTCCTGAGTAGCTGGGATTACAGGTGTGCATCACCACGCTCTACTAATTTTTCTGTTTTTAGGCTAGGCTGGTCTCATACTCCTGGCCTCAAGTGATCCACCTGCCTTGGCCTCCCAAAATGCTGCTATTACAGGCATGAGCCACTGCATCTGTCCAGAAAAGCTTTTAATAGTCTACTGACTGGGAACAGGAAAACCTTTTATAATTTAGAACAAAGAGACTGAATCTGCTTGCCATCTACAATGTAGCAAGACTTCGGGACTTTAAACCTTGGGTTCATAACGTTACAACTCAAAGGGGACCCTCTAAACTCTTGTAATCTTATTGGAGATTTTAATTGGAGATCTTGAGGTAAAGCTAACCGGAGAAGTTTCTCCTCAAAAGAAGATGACAACCTTGAGGTAGAAAGCTGTTTCCACAAGATAAAAAATGAAGACCTCTCTGATATCATGACGCTCTTAGTTCACAGTTTCTTTTTTTATGCCTCTACACACAACAGAAATAAAAAAGGGATCTCTTGTGTGCTCTCATGGGGTATACTTATATATGTAAATAATTTTACAGCCAACATTTAAAAAAACTTATGTCTTAATAGGTAAAAGATGAAGGGCCACTGCGGGTGAGAAATTGTAATGGGAAATTTGTTGCCTCATAATATCAGAAACAGAATATTGATCAACTGCTCTTGGAGCAATATTAAGTTAAAGATAAACTTATTCAGAATAGCATAAAGAGCATTGCCAGGAGGCCATTAGTCTTCTGAGTGATCATTTGTTAGGTCTTTTTTTCAAAGGCTTAGAGTAAATAAGGCAATGATTAGAAATTTATCTTCCATAACAGGCTCTATAGCAGATTCCACCATAAAGGCTATGGTTACACAATAGAATTTAATATTTTTTTAATAAAGTTGTGCTAAATAAAATAATTTATCTAGTTTACTTACTGGATAAACAGAGAAGTATCTGTGCAGTTGGTAGTATTTGTAGTTGCACATGGAGAAATACATCGAGTATTACAGAGATTCAGTTGTAGGAAATTAATGAACAGACTGCTTGGTTGAAATGAGTAGACCATTTAACTAGCTAACTGTTTGATCTATTTAATCTTAGTTGGTTGGTTCATGGGAACCTTGGTTAAAAAGCATACTTCTGGTCGGGTGCGGTGGCTCACGCCTGTAATCCCAACACTTTGGGAAGCCGAGGCAGGTGGATCACCTGAGGTCAGAAATTCGAGACCAGCCTGGCCAGCATGGTGAAACCCTGTCTCAACTAACAATACAAAAATTAGCCAGGTGTAGTGACACATGCCTGTAACCCCAGCTACCTGGGAGGCTGAGGCAGGAGAATCACTTGAACTCAGGAGGCAGAGGTTGCAGTGAGCTGAGGTCGCACCATTGCACTCCAGCCTGGGTGACAAGAGTGAGACTTCGTCTCAAAAAAAAAAAATCGTACTTCTAACTCTTGATATTATTTTCCTGATAATCAAAATATAGTCTCCCTACTGCATTCTATTCTCTCAAAAGTTATAAATCTTTGCATGCAGTCATCTCTAGAATGTCAAGTGGTCTCTCTTTAACTGGAATGATGAAAACTTGAAAATGTATTTGACCATGAGAACACCATAACCTATGAATGACCTGATAAGAACGGAAATCAAAAATAATGGAAACTGAGAGTGACACTAAGATGCTGAGTTTTGGTCACACTCTGACCTATGTGAAAACCTAATCAAAAGGGGGACATTTTTTAAACAAAATTATTGGAGGCCATCATTCTGGACTGAGCTTGTTCACTAGGCTCAAACAGACCAAACCAAACAAAAATAGAGTCATTCATGTTGAATGCGACATAGTCAAACTGAAAGTTTAAAGAAATAGGTGGATTCTAAAACTGGCCAGGTCTTGTTTTTCTTTGGTGAAAAGCAGATTTCGATACAAGGAGGTCTCCTCTACTGTAATCATTTTAAAAAATAATAACCTGAAGTACTTGTTTTCACTTTATAAAACCCACAGTTCTGCTATTTTACAGTGGAATTTGAGACTAAATAAGTACATTTTTGATGGTGACAAAGTAATATCAACGCCTGAAGTTTTGTTTAATTTCTTGAAATTGAGGAGATAACCAAAAGGGAGATATTGTTAAATTAATTATAGCCTAAAGCTGATCGCTTTTATGTTTAATTTTGTTAATAGGATTTTCTGTACACAGTAAACTAAAAGCTAGCTGAATATGTAAATAGATTGTAACTTATTCTTGTACCAACCACTATGTTTTTGCCAATAAAAGAACATCAGCTGGTCAAACCATATTCCAATAAGGCAAATCCCAAGCTGTAATAAATCTGGCTGTTTCTGTACCTCATTTCTATTTTCTGTATGTCACTTTGCTTCTTCTGTATATAAATCTTTTTTTCCACGTGGCTGTGCTGGAGTCTCTCTGAGGCTACTCGGGACCCATAGGCTGCTTAAAATTTGCAAATTATTCTTTGCTCAATTAAACTATGTGAAACTTAATTTCTCTGAAGTTTTTTTCATTTAAAAGTTTTCAAATGTTTTGTATGATAAAAAGATAAGTTATGTGTTGTTGGACTTTGATTATCAAAAATAAGTTATGTTTTCCAAATTATTCCATATCAGCTATGTCAGCTATTTTTTCCAAGTTATTCTATGTTCTTTCAAAATGCTTTTGCAATTTCTTTTTTGTTTTTGTTTTGTTTTGTTTGAGAAAGAGTCTCACTCTGTCACCCAGGCTGGAGTGCAGTGGTGTAATCAATCATGGCTTAATGCAGCCTCCACCTTCCAGGCTTAAACAATCCTCCTACCCTAGACACCTGAGTATCATCATGCCTGGTTAATTTTTTAAATTTGTTTTGTATTGAGACAGGATCTTACTATGTTGCCCAGGCTGCACTTGAACTCCTGAGCTTCAGTGATTCTCCCATCTCAGCCTCGCAAAGTGTTAGGATTACAGATGTGAGCCACCATGTGCTTCAGTAATTTCTTGAGATTATTCCCAACAATAAACAGTACTATGTGGGCACAAATCTAAAAGCAATCTGGTTTCTATTTTTGAAGTGTCACTCTCCAGGATTTTAAGAGTCTAGGACAGCTACTTGAATAGTGTGATCCATGGAGGTACATAGGCTTTGGAGTCAGAGTTGATCCTGAGTCCCATCCCAGCCACGTAGTAGCTGTGGGTATTCAGACAATTTCTTGATATGGAAGAGTTCTATAGACCACATATGCAGAAAAAGCAGAATGGGCTGGGTGTGGTGGCTCATGCTTGTAATCCCAGCACTTTGGGAAGCCGAGGCGGGTGGATCATGAGGTCAGGAGATGGGGACCATCCTGGCCAACATGGTGAAACCCTGTCTCTATTAATAATACAAAAATTAGCTGGGTGTGGTGGTGTGGGCCTGTAATCCCAGCTACTCAAGAGGCTGAGGCACAAGAATAGCTTGAACCCAGGAGGCGGAGGTTGCAGTGAGCCAAAATGGCATCACTGCACTGCAGCCTGGCAACAGTGAGACTCCCTTTCAAAACAAACAAACAAACAAACAAACAAAGAGACAAACAACAGCAGAAGGATACTGATTACAAATATGGTAGCAATTTTTCATCCCTCCTGTATTCATGTCCATTGCCAGGTGCTTTTACAGCCATTCCCATCAAGATTCAGAATCTATTTTCCAAACACTTGATCTGGCTGGCCTTTTTTGCTTAGGGCAGTAGAAACCTGGGAACATGACAATGTCTTATTTTGGGGCCTAGGTTCAAATAGTGTTGGCTACTTCTGTTTTTCTTTTCTCTCTTTTTTTTTTTTTCTTTTTTTGAGAAGGAGTCTTTCTCTGTCACCAAGGCTGGAGTGCAGTGGCGTGATCTTGGCTGACTGCAACCCCCATCTCCCAGGTTCAAGCAATTCTCCTGACTCAGCCCCCTGAGTAGCTGGGACTACAGGCATGTGCCACCACACCCAGCTAATTTTTGTATTTTTAGTAAAGACAAGGTTTCACCATGTTGGCCAGGCTGGTCTCAAATTCCTGACCTAAGGTGATCCAACCACCTTGGCCTACTAAAGTTCTGGGATTACAAGCGTGAGCCACCATGCTGGGCCTGCTTCTGTTTTTCTTTCAGAATGCTGCCATCTTCATGAAACAAGCCCATATTAGCCAGCTGGAGGATAAGATACCATGGGGAGGAGAAGCAAGTTGCCCCTGTTGACAGCCCCAGAAGCAGAAGCTCACCCCTAGAAGCACAGCTGCCTTCCTAGTCAATGAGCAGCTCATGATACATGTCTAAAGAAGCTCAGCTGAGAACAGAAGAATGGCCCCACTGAGTCCAGCCTAAATGGCTGAGCAGTTCAATTATGAGCTAATCAGTTTTGGATGGTTTGTTATGCTGCATAGCTAACTAATACGTGCACCCAGTGCAGATAGAATGCCAAGATTTAATGACAGGTTGGTTACTAGTTACCTTCTAATGCTGAGCAGCATAAAAGTACTGATATTTTTCCCTATTTAAAGTTAGATGTCTTGTAAGATAATGTTGAGAAATGCAGAAATGTTTTTTTTTGAAATGCAGAAATATTGCTGGGTGTGGTGGCTCATGCTTGTAATCCCAGTACTTTGGGAGGCCAAGGCGGGCAGATCACCTGAGGTTGGGAGTTTGAAACCAGCCTGACTAACATGGAGAGACCCCCTCTCTACTAAAAATACAAAAGATTAGCTGGGCGTCGTTTCACATACCTGTAATCCTAGCTACTCATCAGGAGGCTGAGGTAGGAGAATCACTTGAACCCAGGAGGTGGAGGTTGCTGTGATCTGAGGTCATGCCATTGCACTCCAGCCTGGGCAACAACTGCAAAACTCCGTCTCAAAAAATAAAGAAAAGAAAAGAAATGCAGAAATACATGTGGACATGTATGCATGTGATTGGCGCTTATATTCACTCAGTTTCCCACACCACAGGAGAAAACGGATAACCCCAGCCTGACCATTAGTGTCAAGGCCAAATAGCAAAATAAGTTTGCCTTTAATCTATTTTCTTCCTAGTAAATATTAAAGGTCCAGACAGTGTAGAGATCTCAAGACATAGAGTTTTCTTCTCTTGTTGCCCCATCATCCTTTGTTCACTGTCTGTTCTCTGAAAGAAAGGTGGGCAACAGTAGTAAGCAGTGGTTTACCTGTGGTTATTTCATTCCTGCTGCCCTCAGGTGTGGTGTTGATTGAGGTCTTTGGCTCACTCTTTATTTTTATTTTTTAGTCAGGTCGTTTGTTTTATTGTTGTCTGAAAATTATTTCTATATTTTGGATAACAATCTTTATCAGATATATCTTTTGCAAATATTATCTTCCATACTGTGTCTTTCTTTTCATTCTCTATACAGTGTCTTTCACAGAGCAAAAATGCTTAATTTTGGTAAATTTGACATCAATATTTTACTTTCAGAAAATGAACTAGTGGTATATTATCTAAATTCTAATTGCTAAATCCAGGGTCATCTAGATTTTCTCCTAATTACATTCTAGGAATTTTATAGTGTTGCATTTTAAATTTAGGTCTGTGATCCATTTGTGTTAGTTTTTGTGAGGTTGTAATGTTTGTGATTCATGCTTTTGTATGTGGATGTCCAATTGTTTTAGCATCATTTGTTGAAAGGATTCTCTTGGCTGCATTGTATTGCCTTTAGTCTTTTGTCAAAGATTCATTCAGTGTATTAATATGGGCTTACCTCTGGGCTCTGCATTCTTTCCATCAACTGATTTGTCTGTTCTTTTACCAGTATCACACTGTCTTGATTACTGTAGCTTTATATTTAATCTTGAAGCTGAGTAGTGTCTCAATCATCCAATTTTATTATTCTTCTACAATATCGTGTTGGCTACTCTAGGTCTTTTGCCTCTGCATGTAGGTTTTTGCCTCTATATGTAAACTTCAGAATCAGTTTTTCAGTAGCCCCAAAAGAAGTTCATGGAATTTTGTTTAAGGCTGTAGTGCATCACAGATCTAGCTAGGAGGAACTGACATCTTAACAATATGGAGTATTTGCATTCATGATCATGGTATATCTTTCTACTCTTTGCTCCTTCTGATTTCTTTCATTAGATAAAAGTATTTTTTTTTTAAGGACAAGTGCCTCACTCCATCCCCCAGGCTGGAGTTCAGTGATGCCATCTTGGTTCACTGCAACCTACACTTCCCAGGTTCAAGTGATCCTTCTCCCTCAGCCTCCCAAGTAGCTGGGACTACAGGCATGTGCCACCATGCCAGGCTAATTTTTGTATTTTTAGTAGAGATGGTATTTCACCATGTTTATTGGTACTTTCACCATGTTATTTCTCCTTCTTCAGCCTCCTGAGTGGCTGGGATTACAGCTGAACCTGGGAGGCGGAGGTTGCAATGAGGCGAGATCACACCACTGCACTCCAGCCTGGGCAACAGAGTGAGACTCTATCTCAAAAACAAACAAACAAACAAACAAACAAAAGTTTCAATATAGGCATAAAACATCTGTTAATTTACATTATAGCACATCTACTTAAGATTAGTTTTATTTCTTATAACAAAGAATCTTTGTTTCAATTTTTTTTATAAACAAGATCTTACTTTGTCACTCAGGCTGGAATGCAGTGGTGTGATTATAGCTCACTGTAGCCTGGAATTCCTAAACTCAGGTGATCTTCCTGCCTTGGGCTCCTGAGTAGGTGGGAGTACAGTTGTGTCAACATGCTCTATTAATTTCCTTTTTTTGTAGAGACTAGGTCTCCCTATGTTGCCCAGCCTAATCTCAAACTCCTGGCCTCAAGTGATACTCCTATCATGGCCTCCCAAAGTTCTGGAATTATTGGCATGAGCCACCATGCCTTGCCTATTTTCTCTAAAAGCTTTTTTTCACACACACACAAAAAATGTACTGTCTTTTGTTGGTTGCATATTAGAATATAGGTTATATGGAGTATCCTACTTTGAAGCAGCCCATTCCAGAGTCTACGCAAAGTTGTCCTTCCTGAACTACTTTAAGACAATTACCTCATGTGGGACAAGGGCATGGGGGCGTCCCCCAGAAAATTCAACTGAAAATAACTACTGAAACAATACATACCTATTCCCAAACAGAGCAAGAGTGTCTGTTGTAGATGGTCAACCTTTGCAGACAGTAGTAGCATCTATGTTTACCAAGAGACATACTGTGAACTCTGAGAACAGGTTACAATGTTTATTGAGTCAGGAGAAACTCATCCATCAGACCATAGCCAAAGACAATCAAATATTAAACCTCTTCCCTGCACATGTGAAAACATCAGATGTGCAAAAATAAAACATTGGGAGACAAGGTCCTCACTGCATATATGTGGGCTTTAGTCTCCAGTGAGACACATTGAGTGCACATCAATTTCACTACTGCTGCATCTGTCATACACTACATTTCATATATATTTCATACTATTTTTGAATTTTATATTCCATTTGTCTCTAAATCAGTTCATAAATTAAAACTACATTATTTAACTTTTCAATTCCTTATAACACATGACAGAAGATGTCACTTCATATTTCTTTCTTTCTTTTTTTATTTTTATTTTTTTGAGGCAGAGTTTTTGCTCTTTTTGTCCAGGCTGGAGTGCAATGGCGTGATCACAGCTCACTGCAACCTCCACCTCCCGGGTTCAAGTGATTCTCCTACCTCTGCCTCGCAAGTAGCTGGGATTACAGGCATGCACCACCATGCCCAGCTAATGTTTTGTATTTTTAGTAGAGGTGGGATTTCACCATGTTGGTCAGCTGGTATCCACCTCCAGACCTTAGGTGATCCACCCACCTCGGCTTCTCAAAGTGCTGGAATTACAGGTGTGAGCCTTTATACTTTTTACATATATCTTTATTCATTTATTCTTCTTTGCAGTAAAATTTCTATTTTCAGAACACAATAAGACGGTGTCTCTGTTGGATTCAACTCAATTTTTAAACTGATTAAAAGATCATTGACCCAATTCTGTTGAATCTTCCTTTTCAAACATGTATTGCCACTAACTTTTACTTGTACAGATCTGTTATTCATGTTTTTCAGAAATACTTTCTGCTAAATCCTTACTAATTTTTTAAAAATATAATGTTCTAGGCCAGGCACAGTGGCTCACACCTATAATCCCAGCACTTTAGGAGGCCGAGGTAGGCGAATTACGAGGTCAGGAGTTTGAGACAAGCCTGGCCAATATGGTGAAACCCCATATCAACCAAAAATACAAAAATTAGCTGGGTGTGGTGGCACAAACCTGTAGTCCCAGCTACTCGGGAGGCTGAGGCAGAATTGTTGCTTGAACCTGGGAGGCAGAGGTTTCAATGAGCCAAGATCGCACCACTGCACTCCAGCCTGGGCAACAGAGCGAGACTCTATCTAAAAAAAAAAAAAAAAAAAAAAAAAAATATATATATATATATATATATGTACAAATATATATATAAATTTTTCTGTAGAATTCTGGTAATGTCTTTATTTATAGCTATGAACATGAAACATGACATTCTATTGGTTTAAATTATTTAACTAATTTGTTAGTGGATTTCCAAATGCTAAATCTGACTTGCATTTCTAGCATAAAATACCCTGGATCATAATATAATTATATGTTTTAGTATGCTGACACAATGGCTTCCAATATTTAAAATTTTTACATTATATTTATATGTTCTATATGACTGTAATATTCTATATGTGTTTGTTTAAGCAAAGTTCTCATATCCCTCTTATGAACACTTACACATAAGTAGTGGGAAGATTGCCTACATTAAAACTCTTGAACAGTCTAGATAGCAACAGTTTATCAACTATTTAATAAGTAGAATTTCTCTCTCAAGTATATAATGTTGGTGTTTTTCTATATGAGAATAACCCTTTGAGATATGTCTCTGTTTCTTCTGTAAATATTGAACATTTTACAATCTCTAACTCTGTGAGGATAAATGCTGATAACATTTATTCCTAAAATAAATCAACATTTGCATGTTAGTTTACATTAAATTGCACATATTTGCCCCATTTATGTTTATATCAATATTTAATTTCAAGGTTTTTTTTTGCACTGTAACCTTTCACATATTCTACTCAAGGTTTTTTTTTTTTTTTTTCCTTTGAGGTGGAGTTTCGCTCTTGTTACCCAGGCTGGAGTGCAATGGCGTGATCTCCGCTCACTGCAACCTCCGCCTCCCGTGTTCAAGTGATTATCCTGCCTCAGCCTCCCAAGTAACTGGGATTACAGGCATGCACCGCCACACCCGGCTAATTTTTTGTGTTTTTAGTAGAGACAGGGTTTCTCCATGTTGGTCAAGATGTTCTCGAACTCCCAACCTCAGGTGATTTCGCCCGCATATGCCTCCCAAAGTGCTGGGATTACAAGCGTGAGCCACCGCCCCCGGCCTCAAGCTTTTCATATGCTCACATTTCCTGATTAAATATGAAAGAATAGTTTGGGCCGGGCGCGGTGGCTCAAGCCTGTAATCCCAGCACTTTGGGAGGCCGAGGTGGGCGGATCACGAGGTCAGGAGATCGAGACCATCCTGGCTAACACGGTGAAACCCTGTCTCTACTAAAAATATACAAAATTAGCCTGGCGTGGTGGTGGGCGCCTGTAGTCCCAGCTACTTGGGAGACTGAGGCAGGAGAATGGCGTGAACCCAGGAGGCGGAGCTTGCAGTGAGCCGAGATCACGCCACTGCACTCCAGCCTGGGCGACAGAGTGAGACTCCGTCTCAAAAAAAAAAAAAAGAATAGTTTTGCTCAGGAATTTGAAGATTCACAGAAAATTTGCTTTTTAGCAGAGGAACACCTAAAGGAAGCGCAGAACCCAGAAAGACACGCTGACTTCACTGTCTGTTCTTCGTATATCACACTCAGCATTTTCCTCTCCCTCCATGTGAGCCTCTTTCTTTCTTCAGAAATCATAGATGAGAAAAGCCTGTTCCAAATTCCTTCATTTCTCTGGGGACAATAGACAGCTGTAATCATTTTTCTTGTTTGTTTTTTTCTGTTTTGAGAAGGAGTCCCACTCTGTCACCTAGGCTGGAGTTCAGTGGCATGATTTTGGATCATTGCAACCTCCACCTCCCAGGTCGAAGCTATTTTCCTGCCTCCGCCTCCCAAGTAGCTGGGATTACAGGCGCGCACCACCACACCTGACTAATTTTTGTGTTTTCAGTAGAGACGGTGTTTTGCCATCTTGGCCAGGCTGGTCTCAAACTCCTGACCTCAGGTGATCCGCCTGCTTCAACTTCCCAAAGTGCTGAAATTACAGGAAGGAGCCACCACACCTGGCAAAGAGCTGTAATTGCTGTTGGTAAGTTGTAACTGGAGCGAATTTTTCAAAATATTGCTATTTTTTTTCCAAGTGCAACAGCTCATTTCACTTTATTTAGCTATGAATAATTGCGATCTATCCATACTGACTTAAAACACACAAGTTATTATTTTTTTTTCACATAAAAAGTCAGGAGTTAGGCATACCTGGGGTGGTATGGCAGCTTCAGGAAGCCTTTAGGGATGTCTCTGCTCCATCACCCCTGACATTTGTTTTCCATTCTTCATGGTCCAAGATGAGGGCTGAAGATCCAGAACATCTATTAACATCCATATTTTAGAAAAGCAAGAAAGCTGTTTTTAAAATCATCGTTGTTTCATCTACTTAATTTCTGAATCTTATTTTATTTGTGCTTTTTTCTTCCAACTTCTATTTTAGGTTCAAGGGTGCATGTGCAGGTTTGTGAAATGGGTAAATTGCATGTCTCTGGGGTTTGGTGTACACATTATTTCACCAGCCAGATAGTGAACATGGTACTTGATAAGTTGTTTGTTTGTTTGTTTGTTTGTTTGTTTGTTTTAGAGGGAGTTTTGCTCTTGCTGCCCAGGCTTGGGTGCAGTTGCGTGATCTTGGCTCATTACAACCTCCGCCTCCAGGTTCAAGTGATTCTCCTGCCATAGCCTCCTGAGTAGCTGGGATTACAGGTGCATGCCACCATGCCTGGCTAATTTTTGTATTTTTAATAGAAACCAGGTTTCACCATATTGACCAGGATAGTCTTGCCCTCCTGACCTTATGATCCGTCCACCCCAGCCTCCCAAAGTGCTGGGATTACAGGAGTGAGCCACCGTGCCTGGCCCAATTTTTGTATTTTTAGTAGAGACAAGGGTTTAGCATGGTGGCAAGGCTGGTCTTGAACTCCTGACCTCAGGTGATCCACCCGCCTCAGCTTCCCAAAGTGCTGGGATTACAGGTGTGAGCTGCCGTGCCTGGCAGATAGGTAGATTTTTTATCCTCACCCTCCTCACACCCTCTACTCTCAAGTAGACCCTGGTGTTTATTGTTTTCCTCTTTGAATTCATGTGTACTCAATGTTTAGCTTCAATTTATAAGTGAGAACATGCAGTATTTTGTTTTCTGTTCCTGCATTAATTTGCTTATAATAATGGCCTCCAGCTGTATCCATGTTGCTGCAAAGCACGTAATTTTATTCTGTTTTATGGCTGACTCGTATTCCATGGTGTACATGTGCCTCATTTTTCTCATTCAGTCCACTGTTGATGGGCACCTAGATTGATTACGTATCTTTGCTATTGTCAAAAGTGCTACAATGAACATATGTGTGCATGTGTCTTTATAGTAGAATGATTTATATCCCTTTGGTATATATCTGGTAATAGTGTAGCAGGATGAGTCGCAGACAAAACTCCTCAGACGCCAGATTAAAGAAGGAAGAGGTTTTTTATTCGGCCGGGATCATTGGCAGACTCGTGTCTTAAGAGCCGAGCTCCCCGAAAAAGAAATTCTTAGCCCTTTTAAGGGCTTACAACTCTAAGGGGTCTACATGAAAAAGTCATAATAGATCAAGTAAGCGTGAGAAACATGACTGGGGGCTACATACATCAGCTAACAGAACAAAAAGTTTTACAGTATTTTCTCATACAGTGTCTGGAATTTACAGATAACACCAATAGTTTTGGTCAGGGGTTAATAATATTATTATTATTTTAGCCACCAGGGCCAGGTGGTGGTGCCAAGGTCGTCTAGCTATTTATCTTACTTCTGTTTCTTTTCAACTTTTTGCTTTCTCCCTTTTCTCCTGTCTTATAAACTAGGGAAAAGGGGAGGTTGGGGAGAAACTGAGAAGGACAACAGGAGAAGTGGCGACCTCATACCATATTTCCCCCCCTTTGAGAATTTTCACTTTTAGTGGGAGTTCTTACTCTCGTCCTCACTTTTTTAGTCTCTTTGTGAGATAGAGCGATAGTGATTTGTATAATACACATGTGCTGAAGTTTTCTGATGAACTAAAGTAACAACAAAATATTTTATCATTTGAAAAAGCAAGGGTAATACACAGGGGAGCAGCAAGCAAGTTCCTATCACTAGCAATACACCTACAATGAGGGTTTTAAATCCTCCTATAGCTGGAAACCATTTTCCAAATAAAGACTCAGGATTAAACTTGTGCCAAACCTGTACAGGCACATGTGCCACCTTTGTCATGTCCCTGACTATGTTTTCAACCACCTGTCCTTGATCATCTATTTGTAGGCAGTAATTGGTTAAGTTAAATTTTCCACAAACTCCTCCTTCAGCTGCTAGCAAGTAGTCCAAGGCCAGTCTATTCTGATAGATAGCATTCCTCGTTTGGGTTTCCTGCCGAGCTAAAACAGTCAAAGCTCTGCCAGTTTCATTAGTAATTATTTCTAAGATGGCCTGCAACCGTATGATCCGATTGAGCATGTAAATGGGGGTTCGGTATCCCCATGAGCCGTCTTGTGCCCATGTGGCAGGCCCATAATACTGTATGATCCTTTCAGGGCGCCACTCATTATCTTTCCAGTTTCCTATAACTATGCCTCTCTTTTCTCGGGAGGCATAGACAGGGAAACCTAGGGTCTCACCTGTTTTTATGGGTAATAAGAAAAAGGACGACTTAATAGTGCCAATAACACAACTGCCTGCCTATTTATTAGGTAACCGAATGTAGGCTCTGTGCCCACATATCCAGTATAGTCCAGCGGGAGCCATCCAGTCCTGATGAGATTCTGGATGAGCCCAAGCAGTTTTTAATTTTGAAAATTTACTAAATGGATTCTTTTCAGTGTGGTTTATGCCCCACCAAGTAATTGTCTTTGTTGTACTGTTATACAACTTCTGTCCTATACAATTAAGCTTTCCTACAGGGATGATAAAGTCTTTCCCTTCTCTAGCTATACAGTATTGTCCAATAATTGAGGTTTTTAGGACCCAGAAGTTGCTAGCTTGGGTTTTCTGAACTGGAATTATATCAGGAGCTGGATCAGTAGGCACCAACTCTCGGGCTTCCCAAGGCCATCGGTCTCCGATAGTGGTTCCCCCGCATACATAACAAGAAGTAACATTAAGGGAATGAGCTACATTTTCTGCTAATTGGAGAAACAAATTTTTTGTCTTTTTTGGAAATTCTGGTGCTGGCAGATTCAGCTCCTTATAAAAGGTTTGAAATACTGGTTTGGGAGAGCACTTGTGGACCTCCCCTCTAATTAAAATGGCAACTTGGGGGTTTAACCCTGTCCCATCAATCCCCAGGGTTACACGTTCTCCCTTTTTCCAATGGGGATCTAGGGGATTGGTAATTATTAGTTCTAGTGGGTTACAGTGACCAGCAGCACAGGAGGGGTTGGCTTCCCCCTTCTGAAGATAAACCGGGTCCTTTTTGTTCTTTTTCCAAGTAGCCCAAATAACACATGGCCAATAGGCACAATTTTCACAAACCCCTGACTCATGACAAACATATTTATTTTTTATTCTGTAGCTCCTTTCCCAGTTAAGAGAATCACATCCTATTCCTAGCTTTTTACTATTAATGGCTGCACAAGCATCAAATCTTAAAGTTATTTGTTTGGGGATTTCTTTTTCTTCTGTTCTAGTTATTATTTTACTTGTATCACCTAGGAAAAGGCCAGTTCTTATTCTTATTTCAAAAATGGTGGTTGCAGGAGGCTCAGATGGGTTATAACACACATCAGGTCGGTCATTTCCTGGGCTACATACATTGTACTGAGTAGCATTATACAAACAAGTTTCTTTTAATGTTCCTATACATTTATAATAACTATAGAACAGAAACATTGTTTTAATTTGCTGTCCTACCTCGGTGACCTGATGAATACACTGGGAACAGTCCCCAGTTTGAGTAAGATCAGTTGAAGCCCTTACTGTATAAGTCCAAAATTTAAGAAAAATGAATCCCATGATGAGCTTCTGCATGCTTCGGCCGTGCGTGGACCAGTCAGCTTCCGGGTGTGACTGGAGCAGGGCTTGTTGTCTTCTTCGGGGTCACTCTGCAGGGGTTTTCTGGGCTTGGTCTTGCCTCCCAGGTTTCAGGCACTGCAGGTTTTACACGGCTGTGGTGGATCCAGGTTGGGATTCCCTCTACCTTCACAGCGGTGGGAGTGCTCAGGATGACAGTCTGGGGTCCTTTCCACCGTGGACACAAACAGGCTACGTTTCAGTCCTTGATCCACACTAGATCACCTGGGGAGAAAGGGTGAACTGGGGAGAATAAGTTAACAGGGCATCTCTCATTTACCCAGGCCGAGATTGTTTGTGTAATTTTTCCTGAAGCCTGTAGCTATCGCTGTAACTCAATTTCACCTAACTCTCGGGGAGTGCCTGGAAGTCCCCGCAATATAGGAGGGGGCCTATGATATAATATTTCATAAGGGGAATATCCTGTTCTTTTAGAAGGGGTACATCTAATTTTAAATAATACCATAGGAAGAGCCTGTATCCATTTTAATCCTGTTTCTTGACATACTTTCCCTAAACTATTTTTGATAGTCCGATTCATCCGCTCTACCTTTCCGGAACTCTGAGGCTGGTAGGCAGCATGCAGTTTCCATGTGATCCCCAATACCTTTGCCGTCTTCTGTACCAAGTCAGCCACAAACACCAGCCCATTATCTGAGCCAATCCGTAAGGGCAGTCCAAATCTAGGAATAAGATCTCGAAGAAGCACACGAGTTACTTCATGAGCTTTCTCAGTTCGTGTTGGATAAGCCTCCACCTGCCCAGAGTAGGTACACACAAGAACTAGTAAATACTTGTTACCTCCACACTTTGGCATCTCTGTGAAGTCCACCTGGAGATCTTCAAAGGGGGCTGCTCCATAAGCTTGTATGCCAGGGGGAACAGCTGGACCTTGTCTCGCATTATGCTGTCGGCAGGTAACACACCGCTGCGTCACTGTTTTGGCAAGGGCTGACAAATGCGAGATGTAGAAATACCAGCCTAACAACTTTTCAAGTGATTCCTGACCTAGATGGGTGGTTTTATGCACAGCCAGTACAACTGCAGCTCCTAGCAGCTGTGGCACAGCTACTCTCCCATCTGGTAACCAAATCCATCCTTCCTCCATCACTTGTCCTCCCTCTGCCTGGAGAAAGTCCTTTTCTTCTTTAGAATAAGTAGGTACAAGATCAGGTGCTTGAGGGAGCAGGGGGGCTGTCACTGATGCCCGGAAGGGGGCAGATGCTGCTTTTTGAGCCTCTAAGTCAGTGCAGGAATTCCCCAAACCCACCAAGGTGGAAGCTCACTGGTGTCCTCCGCAATGTATAACAGCCACCTTGTGGGGTTTCCATACTGCTTCTAATAATTGCAAGATTTCTTGTTGATATTTTATGTCTTTTCCCCCAGAGTTCAATAGGCCCTTTTCTTTACATAATGCTCCATGCACTTGAAGGGTTAAAAAGACATATCAAGAGTCAGTGTAAATGTTTACAGTCTTACCTTCACTGAGTTCTAAGGCCCGAATTAAAGCAATGAGTTCAGCTTTCTGAGTTGAAGTGCCCTGGGGAAACGATCTGGCTTCAGCAACAGTGTCCAGAGTTACCACCGCATACCCTGCACATCTCTCTTCTTGTGGGTTGACAAAGCTGCTCCCATCCACGTATAGTTCCCAGTCTACTGATGCCCAGAGTAAACTGAGTCCAACACTTCTACACAGTCATGCTCGACAGGGATCTCTAATACTGGGAGCAAGGTAGCGGGGTTCAGGGTGTTACAAACTTCAATGGTTATATGGGGATTTTCACAAAGCAAACTTTGGTACTTAGTAAGTCTAGCATTCGTTAGCCAATGATGTCCTCTAGTATTCATTAAAGTCACCACAGCATGGGGGTCCTTTATGTTCAGGTTTTGCCCAAGAATCAGCTTATCTGCTTCTTGTACTAGCAGGGCAGTTGCTGCCAAGGCCCTCAAACACGGGGGCCATCCTTTAGAAACCCCGTCTAGTTGTTTAGAGAGGTAGGCCACCGGCCTCAGCCAGGGCCCCACAGTTTGGGTTAAAACTCCAACTGCCATCTTTTCACTCTCTGACACATACAATGTAAAAGGCTTTGTCAGATCAGGTAGCCCCAGGGCTGGGACTGACATAAGTCTTTCCTTTAACTCATGAAAGGCTTGCTGTTGCTGGGATCCCCATTCAAAAGGTTCCTGGTCCCCCGCCTTTGTGACCTCATACAAAGGCTTAGCTAATACTGCAAAGTTTGGGATCCACAGTCTGCAAAAACCCACAGCCCCTAAGAATTCTCTCACCTGCCTTCTGGTCTTAGGCTCCGGTAGATTACAAATGACCTGCTTTCTTTCTGATCCCAGGCTGTGCTCCCCCTGTTGGATAGTAAATCCCAAGTAACATACCTGCTGTCGGCAGATCTGAGCTTTTTTTCTTGGACACCTTATACCCACAGTCCTCCAGGTGCCGGAGTAGAGCATCTGTTCCCTTGGCGCACCCGACTGCCGTGGGGTGTCCCAGCAAAAGGTCATCAACGTACTGGAGCAACACGCAGCCTAGGTCTCTGGTGGGAAACTTCTGGAGGTCTCGAGCCAACGCCTCCCCAAAGATGGTGGGGGAGTTCTTGAACCTTTGGGGAAGCTGGGTCCAAGTGTATTGAGTAGTGACACCTGACTCTGGATCTTCCCACTGAAAGGCAAACAGCTTCTGTCTCTCAGGGGCTAATCTGATGCTAAAGAAAGCATCTTTCAGGTCCAAGCAGGTGAACCAGCTGTCCTCAGCTGGCAGCAACCCCAGCAATGTGTACAGGTTAGGTACTGTTGGATGTAAAGTCACTGTAGCCTGATTAACCAAGCGCAAATCCTGTACCGGCCTGTAGTCCTTGGTCCCAGGCTTGGGAACAGGCAGGAGGGGAGTGTTCCATGGAGACTGACAAGGAACTATAATTCTAAAGGTTCTTAGGCACTTGAGATGGACCTGGATACCTTCAAGAGCTTCTCTGAGGACCGGGTACTGTTTTTGCCTAACCGGCTGGACCCCAGGCTTAACTTCTATAAGCACGGGGGCTTGGTTGACTGCCAACCCTGGAGGGTTGTCTTCCGCCCACACTCTTGGCCACCGCTTAGCCAGAGCTGGTCTTATCTCTTGGCCCGGCTCAGTTAAGAAAAGTCTCCATTCCTCCTCTCGGGGGAGCATAAGGGTCATAATGACTCCTGTTCCGGGTAACTTTAGCAGCAAAGAGCCGTGCTCTGTAAAAGAGATAGTGGCTCTCAGTTTGCTAAGCAAGTCTCTTCCCAACAAGGGCAAGGGACAATCAGGCATGTACAAAAACTGATGAATCACTTTATGTCCTCCTATAGTACAAGTCTGGGGCAAGCAGAAAGCTTGTTTTGCTGAAACTCCCATGGCTCCGATGATGTCAATAGTCTTTTTGGATAAGGGGGCGACTGAGGCAGTTACTACCGAATGTTCAGCACTGGTATCTACAAGAAAATCAATGTCTTTACCCCCAACTGTCATCCTGACCATAGGCTCTTTGGAGGTCCTTGAGCCCAGTCCCCCTCAGTCCAATAACCCTTCTGCCAGGTTGAGCAGGGCCCCTTCCTCCTTGTCTGGAGCCTCCTGCTCCGAGTCACCTTGTTTTCCTTTTAGCTGAGGGCATTTGTTCTTCCAATATCCTATTTCTTTACGATAAGCACACTGATTACACTGCAAGCTCTGACAGCCAGGCTGAGTTTCTTTCCCAGGGCCCCCCTTTTCCCTTGCCTCTTTGGGGGGACCCCTCTAATTGCTGCAGCTAACAGGTCGGCGTTTCGCCGGGCCTGACGTTCATTCTCTATGTGGTTTTCCTTACGGCTTGCTGCATCCCTGTTTACAAACACCTGGTTGGCTATTTCTAATAACTGTGATGTGTTCATCCCTGCAAACCCAGCCTTTTTCTGCAGTTTTCTTCTAATGTCTTCTGTGCTTTGACTAACTAAAGCCATGTTAATCATGCGTTGATTTTCAGGGCTATCGGGATCAAAGGGAGTATACATACAATAAGCCTCACACAGTCTCTCGTAGAATTTTGCTGGACTTTCTTCTTTTCCCTGAATGACCTCAGAGACCTTGTTAATGTTTGTGGCCTTCTGGGCTCTCCTCTTTAATCCTTCTAAGAGAGCTTTCCTGTATCGGTTTAGCCTTTGCATATCCTCTCTTTAATTTGGGTCCCACTGGGGGTCGGTTCCTGGTAACTGTGTCCTTACATACTCTTGGGGGTTTTGGTAATCAGCCAGTGCATGTTCCTCTAGCCACTTAGTTGCTGCTTGAAGCACCCTTCACCTTTCATCTGTTTTAAAGAGGAACATGAGCAACTGGTGGCAATCAGCCCAAGTGGGGTTATGGGTCTGGATAATAGTTTGGAGCAAATCAATTAGAGCTTGCGGCTTTTCAGTATAGGACGGGGTATTGTTTTTCCAGTTGAGAAGGTCGGCAGAGGTGAAGGGCTGGTACACAAAAACACGACTCTCCACCATGTGCCCATCCTCATCTATTCCAGTATACTGCTGCTCTCTCAGGGGCATTTGTATCCCTGTTTTGGGTCTTAAATGAGCTGCCAAGGGAGGGGTTTCTCCCGAGGCTTCACCTCCTCTCTTGTCTACTCTGAGTGGCCTAGGGATACATTTGTCTGGCAGAGGCGCAAGCACTGTGGACTCAAAAGTGGGGAGCCTCTCTCCCTGATAAGGGGAGGGCAACACTGGGATCACTGGTGCCATCTCCTGCAATGGATCTTCTGATGTTTGGTCGAACAGAACTTCAGGAGTTGATTTCCCTCAGCGGGTGGAGCAGAATCCTTCCTTGACTATCTGTCCCTTTGCTACTAGCACTGCTGCTGCCTGCCCTCTTAGCCACTGTGGGGGGTCTAGCACCAGCTGTAACCAAGTGTCTATGTATGGAAACTGGTCTGAGTGTCCTGACTTACTAGTTACCTTGTGCCATACCTTAGAAACAAGGGACCTGTCCAGGCTTCCTTCTGATGGCCAACCCACTTCTAATGTTGGCCAATCTATTTCACACAAAGTTCTAAGTTTCCCTGGTGTCATAGTAACCCCATAGTCTCCATTAAATCCCTTCTTAAAATTTTTCAACATAGTTCCTAGAGGAGTAGGCTTATTTTGTGTCTGATCCATGTTTCCTCAAGACAAAACACCAAGCTCACACCACATGCACACCACAAAACAAAGAATGGGTAAAAAGTGCACACACACACTTTTTCAGTTTTCACCAAACCAGAATCAAAACCAAAATCAGAGTATCCAGAAATCCAAGCCAGGTCAAACCAAAACCAAAGTATCAAGCAATTCAAGTCAAGTCAAAAACAAAAACCAAAGTGCCAGTACAGGCATGCCGTGGTTGATCAGGCCACGCTTCCACTCAAATGGAGTGGGCAAGTTCCGAAGACCAGTCTTACCAAGTTTCAAATGTCTGGACTCCAAGTGCCTGTTCCTTCCCAGTGTTCAGCCACTGCATTGATCCTCCACAGGGGCCTGCCACGCACTGCTCTGACGAGGCTTTCCACCGGGGTAATTGCCTACCTGGGAGCGCTCTCAGGATCCGCGTCACTCAAGCTGGCCAGAGTCCCCTGCAGGGATGCTCCACAGGGCAGGCCTAAGCCACCTAAGGGGCTGCCTCGACTGTCCTTCAATTACCTTGCTTCCTGGCCAGGGAACCAAGAAATGTAGCAGGACGAGTCACAGACAAAACTCCTCAGACACCAGATTAAAGAAGGAAGAGGTTTTTTATTTGGCCGGGAGCATTGGCAGACTCGTATCTTAAGAGCCGAGCTCCCCAAAAAAGAAATTCCTAGCCCTTTTAAGGGCTTACAACTCTAAGGGGTCTACATGAAAAAGTCATAATAGGTCAAGTAAGCGTGAGAAACATGACTGGGGGCTACCTACATCAGCTAACAGAATAAAAAGTTTTACAGTACTTTCTCATACAATATCTGGAATTTACAGATAACACCAACAGTTTTGGTCAGGGGTTAATAATATTATATTTTAGCCACCAGGGCCAGGTGGTGGTGCCAAGGTCATCTAGCTATTTATCTTACTTCTGTTTCTTTTCAACTTTTTGCTTTCTCCCTTTTCTCCTGTCTTATAAACTGGGGAAAAGGGGAGGTTGGGGAGGAACTGAGAAGGACAACAGGAGAAGTGGTGACCTCATACCATATTTCGATGGCTGTGTCAAACAGTTTAAAGTTATTTGAGAAATCTTCACACTGCTCTTTCCACAGTGGCTGAACTAACTTACACTCCCTTTGCTCTGCATCCTCACCAATACAATACTGTGGTTTTTATTTGCATTTCTCTAATAATTAGCAACGTTTACATTTTTTTAATGTGCTCTTTTGCTGTGTGTATGTCTTCTTTTGAGAAGTGTCTGGTTTTTGTTTTTGTTTTGAGATGGAGTCTTGTTCTGTCACCCAAACTAGCGTGCAGTGGCAGGATCTCAGCTTACTGCAACCTCTACCTCCTGGGCTTAAGCAATTCTCCTGCCTCAGTCTCCCAAGTAGCTGGATTACAGGCGCCCACCACTGTGCCTGGCTAATTTTTGTATTTTTAGTAGAGATGGAGTTTCACCATGTTGGCCAGGCTGGTCTCAAACTCCTGACCTCATGATCCACCTACCTCGGCCTCCCAAAGTGCTAGGATTACAGGCATGAGCCACTGTGCCTGGCTGAGAAGTGTCTATGTCTTTGCTCATTCTTTGATTGGATTGTTTATATTTTGCTTGTTGATTTATTTATGATTCTTTATAGATTCTGGATATTAGATCTTTTTCAGATGCATAGTTTGCAAATATTTTCTCTCATTCTGCAGGTTGTCTGTTTACTTTATTGATAGTTTCTTTCACTGTGTAGAAGCTCTTAAGTTTAATTAGGTCCTGCTTGTCAGTTTCTGTATTTGTTGCAATTGCTTTGGGAGTCATCATCATGAAATCTTTGTCAAGACCTATGTGCGGAATGGTATTTCCTAGGTTTTCTTCAAGGGATTTTACAGTTTTAGATTTTATATTTAAGTCTCCAATCAATGTTAGGTTGATTTTGTACATGGCGAGAGAGAGAGGTCCAGTTTCAAACTTCTGCATATGGCTAGTCCATTATCTCAGCACCATTTATTGAATAAGAAGTTCTTTCCCCATTGATTGTTATTGTCAACTTTGTCAAAGATCAGATAGTTATAAATGGGTGGTTTTATATCTGGGTTCTCTAACCTGGTCCATTGGTCTCTGTGTCTGATTTCTTACCCGTACCACGTTATTTAGATTATTGCAGCCTGTAATGTAGTTTGAAGTTGGGAAGTGTGATGCCTCCAGGTTTGTTCTTTCTGCTTAAGATTATTTCAGCTATTTAGACTCTGTTGATTTTATGTAAATTTTAGAATGAATTCTGGGGATAATATTATTTGTAGTTTGATAGGAATAGCCTTGAATCTGTACATTATTTTGGACAGTATAGCCTTTTTAACAATATTGATTCTTTTTATTCATGAGCATGGAATGTTTTCCATTACTTTGTGCTTTCTCTGATTTCTTTCAGCATTGTTTTGTGATTCTAATTGCAGAGATCTTTCATCCCCCTGACATAATTTTATTTGATATTTTGCATTCACAAATACTAATTTTCTCTATATAATTATGATAATTCAGTTTCTCTATGCAATATTTTACAAATTTTACATTCTACTCATGTTTCCCTTTTCTTTTCTCTTTTTTTCTTTGAGATGGAGTCTAGCCCTGGTGCCAGGCTAGAGTGCCATTCTCCTGCCTCAGCCTCCTGAGTAGCTGGGACTACAGGCATGCACCACCATGCCCAGCTAATTTTTGTATTTTTAGTAGAGACGGGGTTTCACCATGTTGGCCAAAATTGTCTCAATCTCTTGACCCCGTGATCTGCCTACCTCAGCCTCCCAAAGTGCTGGGATTACAGGCCATGGTGCCTGGCCTCAAGCCTCTTTTCTTAATAGGCATTCCATTATGTGCTCCTTCTTGGTTAAGTTGAAAAAGGCTTCTGTTTTAATTCCAAGAGGAAACCATTTTTGCATTTGATAAATTCCACTTATTTTAAGATGATGCTAAATCAGAACGTTTATATTCTCCTTGAATCTTTGAATCATTATAGATAATATTTGCCAATAAATTATGCAATCCTATTTAAATTTTAAATTTTCATATTGCAATATTAAATAAATACGTACAAACATTCTTTAAACAACTAACAAGAGATACAAAAATGTTTTTAAAATATGTGGATTTTTTAAAAAATATATCTGATGTTGAGACAGCATGATAGTTAAAAGCATCTTCAACTCCTGAAACTGCCTCCTACAAGGAGGTGATTTTAGAAATGTCATTTATCCTATTTTCATCTAAGCCCTCTTCATAGGTAAAATCAGAATAATAAACCACTTCATAGAGTTGTTGTAAAAATTGTATGTAACACATTAATATAACACATTAATATAGTAGTTTTATAATGCTATATCTATAAGGTTATCACACTATATATAGTTATAATAATAAAGAAAAGCCAATGGCATTTTCATATTAAAGGTTTTTCCAAGAAAAGCCAGTGAGATCTTTCATATTAAAGTTTTATATTTGATTCAAGTGTATTTCAATGAAATAATATAGGTGAAAATTAAATTACTAAAATAGAAAATGCCTGACAACATGTGAGCTAGATATCAACCACTGGAATTTATTTTGAAAAGCACAAGCCTAATGCAAATAATTTATAAATATATATATGTGTGTTTATGTGTGTGTGTGTGTATATATACACATATATATATAGAGAGAGAATAGAAAAAATCTTAGTGAAAGAAAAGTGGAATTTAAAAACAAAGTTTTAAGTTGGAAACAATGGTATGTGAACAATAGCCCATTTCAGTTGCCACAATAAAACAGACCTTATGTGTCAATGCAGGATATTCTCACTCTGAATGAAAATATTAGTAATTGGAAAATAATGAAAGGCCTCCAGGAATTTGGAAATAGGAATGATCTTCTTTTCTCAGACAACAGTTGGATTATTGAGGAATTTTTTTTTTGCCACTTTGTTATACCGGGTGGATATTAAAGTCCACAGATTTGATTCTCAAGCACCTGGCTATAGCCAACATCTTGGTCATATTCTCCAAAGCAGCTTCACAGACAATGACTTCTTTTAATTTCAAGCATTTCCTCAGTGATATTGCATGCAAACATGTTTTCTATGTTCACAGAGTGGGCAGAGGTGTGTGCTTTGCCACCACCTCCCTCTTGAGTATCTTCCAGCCATCATTGTCAGCCCCATGAACTCCAGGTGGGCACAGTTGAAACTACAAACCCCCAAATATATTGGGTCCCCCAACATCTTGTCCTGGATTGGAAATACACTGATAAATACCATTTTTTCTATGCATGTGATTGGCAAATCGAACAGCAAAAACAATTCAAAGAAAAAAGATTTAAGATACTGTTCTTCATTAGATAATAACAGAATTACCAGCTTACTGTGCACAACATTATCATATTGCATGGTGTTTGTGTGTTAGATACAGTTAGGTTCACTCTTCAAATAGCTTATCCAGTTTCCCCATTCTCTATTCTATAATTCCAAGTATTCCTTACCTCAACTGTGCACCAACTTACCTAACTATGCCTAGACATGAATGAAATTGTTGCAACCCAAGTCCCAGTCTGCATTATTTTCCTTTTTAGAGAATAGGTTGCTTTCCTAGTTCCCACATAATGGACCCCATTCTCTCTCTCTTAACTCCCTTATGTGACTAACTTATCTAAAAAATTTGAAGTATTTAGCCAGTTGGGACTAGTTGAGACTGTGCGGTCCAACCCTAACCGATAGAGGAAAGACACAGAAGTAGAAGCTGCATTAGAGATAATAGAAACTCGCACTTCCTTTGTTTTGTGTGCCCTTGCCATTGCTTAATTTACGAGGTGCACCCTTTTATAGAAGTAAATTTGCCTTGCTGAGTGCTATTTCTTGTGGAGCACCGAAAATCTGTTTGTAACATGTGTTTGAGACTCATAATCTGGACCAGTGGCTCCAAGATTTTTATTCTGTACAAGTGGCCAATGAGCACATGAAAAGATGCACAACATCTTTATTCACTAGAAAGATGTAAGTCAAAACCACAGTGATATATCACTTCATACCTATGGGTACAGGTATATTTCAGAAGACAGATCAGTGTGGGTGAAGATGTGGAAAAATTGAAACCCTCATAGAGTGCAAAATTAGGCAGCAGTTTTGGAAAACACTTTGGCAGTTCTTCCTGAGGTTAACATAGAGTTACTACATGTCTTAGCAATTCCACTTCTGAGTATATACTCAACTGAAATCAAAATAGGTCCACACAAAAACATGTATATGCGTGTCCATAGAAACATTATTTGTTATGGCCAAAAGGTGAGAGCAGTGCAAATAGTCCATGGAGGACTAGATAGACAAATGTGATGTAGTATACAAGGCAATAGTATTCCGCCAGAAAAAGGAATGATGTGCCAATATGGGACACAACATGGATACATATTAAAGACATTATGCTTGATGGAAAAAGCTATCCAAAAAGGGTCATGTACTTTATGAATCCATTTGTATAAAATTCCCAAAATAGGCAAATCCTTTGAAACAGAAAGTGGATTAATGGTTGCCAGAGGCTGCTAGGGAAAATAGAAAGTGGCTGAATGATGGGTGTGGAGATTTTTTTTTGTTAATTATACAGTTCTAAAATTACACAGTGGTAATGATTGTAAAGCATTGCAAATACACAAAAAGATACTGAAGTGTAAACCTGAAAATAATTAATATATTGAATTTGATGTTATGTGAATTTTATCTCGATAAACATAATTTTATAAACAAACTTCAAGCCACTGTTGCCAATGATAAAGACTAGATAATATGCTCTAAATGCAGCAGAAAAACACTGAAACACTAAGTTAGCTGAAAGGAAAATTGAAACTAAAATGAAAACAGAGTCCACAAAGTTCTACTGAAGCTTTAGTCACCTAGATATTCAAATAAAAACACCCAGGTTCAACTGTGTAACCCTCTGTCATAGAAGTCTGGGTGCTTTTGGTAGATAAATCCATTGGGCATATCAGTGTGACATAAAAAGTGCTTAAAACGTAGTTTTTTTAAAAAATTATAAATTCGTGACACTCATAAAGATAGGAACACATATTAAAATATTTATTTAACATCTGAGGAATCAGCCGATATGATAACCAGTGCAAAAAAGAGTCAAATGGCCAGGCTCACACCTGTAATCACAAAACTTTCAGAGGCCCAAGTGGGCAGATCACGAGATCAGGAGTTCAAGACCACCCTGACCAATATGGTGAAACCTGGTCTCTACTAAAATTACAAAAATTAGCTGAGCATGGTGGCTGTAATCCCAGCTACTCAGGAGACTGAGCCTGTAATCCCAGCTACTCACGCCTGTAATCCCAGCTACTCAGGAGACTGAGCCAGGAGAATCTCTTGAAGTCAGGATGCAGAGGTTGGACTGAGCTGAACTCATGCCACGTCACTCCAGCCTGGGCGACAGAGTGACACTCTGTCTAAAAACAAAACAAACAAACAAAGCAAAAAAATAGCCAGGCACGGTGGCTCATGCCTGTAATGTCAGCACTTTGTGAGGCCGAGGCCGGTGGATTACCTGAGGTTCAGAGTTCAAGACCAGCCTACCCAGCTACTTAGGCGGCTGAGGCAGGAGAATCATTTGGACCTGGGAGGCGGATGTTGTGGTGAGCCGAGATCGTGCAATTGCACTCCAGCCTGGGCAACAAGAGCAAAACTCGGTCTCAAAAAAAAAAAAAAAAAAAAAAAAGAGGCCAGGAGCGGTGGCTCATGCCTCTAATCCAAACACTTGGGAGGCTGAGGCGGGCAGATCACCAGGTCAGGATATCAAGACCAGCCTGGCCAACATGGTGAAACCCCATCTATACTGAAAATACAAAAACATTAGCTGGGCGTGGCTGCGCACGCCTGTAGTCCCAGCTGCTCGAGAGGCTTAGGCGGGAGAATTGGTAGAACCTGGCAGGTGGAGCGTGCAGTGAGCCAAGATAGCGCCACTGCACTCCAGCCTGGGTGACAGAGAGAGACTTCTTCTCAAAAAAAAAAAAAAAGAAAAAAAATGCAGATTCACCTTCTTAGCAAGAGCAGAGCTGCAGTTCTCCATGATATGTTTGGACACCTCTTGTGGGAGATCTGCTGTGCCCAGTGCCTGGACTCTTCCATGCTTATGTTTCTTGCTGCCACTCTTGAGTACCTGATGCCCCATATCCTGGAGCTGGTGACCAATGAAGCTCATAATAGCCACAGAAGGTACAGTTATATTATCATCTATATTACATATGATTATCTATGTGTGTATTATATATATACATATATTCTATATATTATATAAAATGTATATATATGTTTTGGACAAAGACATATTCAAACAATAGTTAATAGTTTTTAAATATTCAGAATCAAAATTATTTATAAATATATTTTATTACAAACACAATTATTCATCTTATTCTTAGCCAAAACACCTGATCTGTCTAATAAGCACATATTTCACAGAGCTACATAGAGTTATCAATGGCTAAATACATTTTATAGGGAAAAGTATACTCTATAGAAATTCTGCCTTAATTGAAGAACTCAAAGCCCCAAATGTTATAAACACTTTTATGGCTGCATTAAGTTAAAAATAAGTGTTCCATCAAGTGTTGGGTCAATCTAACTCCTTTCTCCTGAGTATCAACATTTGAAGTTTTCACCTATTCACCAAAGACTCAAAGGCCACCCTCTGGTATCTCTGGCCTTTTCATAGACAGATGGTAAGAAGCTGCCCAGCTCATTTCAAGTTCAAGGTCAGATGGTTTCTTCTAGAAGTTCCAGTTTACTGTGTACCAGCCATGTGATTCTGTATATTCATTTATTCTCTCTAAGCAGCCGTCTCCATCTGTGTAAAATCAGGATGATGAATTTCTCTATCTTTGGGTTATCCCAAATAAGAAGTCAATTTGAGCTTAAGTTTAAGCTTAATGCAATGCTTGGCACCACAAGGCATGACACAGGATGCTAAACTGGGCACCTGTATTTTACAAAACTAGAAAACTTTGAGTTTCTTCCCTCTCCTGCATTTTCACATGTATTTGGTTTAATCTCTAAATCTGTTGAAGTTGAATAGATGTGTAGACAGGGATTGAGATTAATAATCTCATTTACAAAAACATAAAAAAGAATGAAATACGTAGAAATAAATTTATTGAAAGAGGTAAAAGATCTATACACTAAAAACTCTAAAACATTAAATAAATTGAAGGAACTAAAAAATTGAAAGATACACCATGCTTATGAATTGAAAGAATTAATATTGTAAAAATGTCCATACTACCCAAAGTGATCTACAGATTAAATGCAATCCTTATAAAAATTCCAATTATATTTTTCTCAGAATTTAAAAAGTAATTATCAAATCTCTATCAATTCATGAAAGACCCAGAATAGCCTAAGCAATATTGAGGAAAAACAACAAAGCTGGAGGCATCATACTACCTGGTTTCTGAATATATTACAAAGCTACAGTAAGGCCAGGTGCAGTGGCTCACACCTGTGATCCCAGCACTTTGGGAGGCCAAGGTGGGTTGCTTGAGTCCAGGAGTTCTAGACCAGCCTTGGCACCATAGCAAAACACCATCTCTACAAAAAATAGAAAAATTAGCAGAGTTTAATGGCACAAACCCATAGTCTCAGCTACTTGAGATGCGGAGGTGAGAGGATTCCTAGATCCTGTGAAGTTGAGGCTGCAGTGAGCCACGATGAAGCAACTGCACTCCACCCTGGGCAACAGACTGAAACCTGTCTCAAAAAAAAGCTACAGTAAGCAAATAGCATGGTACTGGATAAAAATAAACACACACAAATGAAGCATAATACCAAGTCAAGAAATAAATGTATCTACTTCATTTCTGGTAATGAAGGAACAATGTTTTCACCAGCAGGCTTCACCTTTCAGTGTTCTATCAATGAATATTTATCGGTAGATTATTTTTAATCTAACTTCAAGCATTCTGTAGCAGGCCAGATGAGGGCAGATCAGATGAATGTTAACATGAAAATTTTGTGGATTTATAGTTAATGAGTAATCATTTATGAAAGACTTACCCTATATTTCTGCAGTTGAATTATTTGCAGTTGGTCTAGTGGTGAGCACAGTCAATAAGAAACAGATAAATAAATAAATAAATGTATAATAAGAAACTAAATCAGTAGCCTGAAGAAAAAGTAGAGTTCTATTTGAAACAATAAAGAAAGAGAGAGAATGCTTACTGATCTTTTTTTTAAAATCTGTGATGGTCAATCAATATTTCTCTCTCAGAAGGCAAAAAAAAAAAAAAAAGGTAGCCAGGAGACAGGATTAATTTGTATCTCCTGCTTGGATGGACAGAACAGCATGTGGAGACTCTCATCATGAACTTTTACTCCAAGAACTACCATAGGAACATACCAGGAAAACCAAAAGAATGCACAGACTCTTTGAAAGAAGTGGCTTGCCACTGCAACCTCTGCGAGACAACTGAAAAACAGCAAGTGCCAAAAGTGTAAGAGAAGGAACATTCACCTCTAAACACACATACTCAAAACCTGAAAATCCAGATTACCAGAGAAGGATTTAGCCTTACCTAGGGCCGAAATGAATTTAGAGAGCCAAGCAAAATATAAAAGCAGAAGCAGTGGGAAGAGCCCCATAGGCACTCTTGATCCTCAGGGAAGCCATTTCTGACTTTATCTCACAGGGGTCCTTGGGAAGGGCTGCCAGTGGAATTGGGGAAGGGCTACAGGGAGAAGAAAACTTCCAGCTAAACCCTGTAAGAATTTTGACCTAGTGTCAATGTTCCTTGGCAGAATCGATGAGGGGACAGTGAATGAGAAGCACAGATACGGGCACAAAAGCCATGGCAGGTGGTGAGGGGTGGCGCCTGAAAGCCCAGGTTGCTTTCTCAATGGGGAGGCTTATAGCCTGGGGCAAGATCTCAGTACTGCTCACGGACTGGATATAAACTTGGTGCTGTTTGTGGGGTAGGGTGTGAATGAAACTGGCCTTGCTGGCTTCATGGGAGCTGAGTGAGGCCTGTCACTGCTGGCTTTCCTTCACTTCCATCCTGACCTGTATGATACAGCAGAGGCAGCCATAATCCCCCTGGGAACATAACTCCATTGGCCTGAGATCCATACTCCCAACCCCACAGCAGCTGCAGCAAGCCCCACCCAAGGAGGGTCTGAGCTCAGACAGGTCTAACCTTGTCCTCGCCTGATGCCCTTACTCTACCCATGCTGGTAGCTGAAGACAAAAAACATACTCTCTTGGGAGCTCTATGTTCCCACCCATTGCCTGAGAAACCTGAATACTTATCCAGGTGACCCAATGGCAAGCTTGCCTACACCCTATACTACCACAACTGATGCCGTATTGAAAATCCCACCTCTAGGTTGGAGGCCAACCAACTCAAGCCATTACATCAACTCATCAAAGAACCCCAACCAGGTGGTGTGGCTCACACCTGTAATCCCAGCATTTTGGGAGGCTGAGATGGGTGGATCACCTGAGGTCAGGAGTTCCAGACCCCCCTGACCAACATAGAGAAACCACATCCAGTTTCTACTAAAAATACAAAATTAGACAGGCTTGGTGGTGCATGCCTGTAATCCCAGCTACCTGGGAGGCTGAGGCAGGAGAATCCCTTGAACCTGGGAGGCAGAGATTGCGGGGAGCCAAGATCGCATGATTGCACTCCAGCCTGGGCAACAAGAGCATAACTCCATCTCAAAAAAAAAAAAAAAAAAAAAGAACAACCTCACTCCAATAAAGGAGAAAACAACAGCTAATTCCATCACCTGTAACATCCTGGCTAACCAGAAGTCCTCAGTCTTTCATGTGACAACTTCACTGCTAGAACAACCAGCATCCAAAAAAAGAAAAAAAAAAACCAGTGCACTAAACAGAACTACAACCAACCACCCTCACAGAGTCCACTTTACTCCCCTGCTACCTCTACCAGAGCAGGTGGTAGAATCCATGGCTGAGAAACCTGAAGACAGATCACATCACAGGACTCTTTGCAGACACTCCCCAGTACCAGCCCAGAGCCCAGTAGCTCCACTGGGTGGTTAAACCCAGAAGATCAATAACAATTCCTGGCTCTCAGGAAGCCCCATCCCAAGGGAAAAGGGGAGACTATCATGTCAAGGGATCACCCCATGAAACAAAATAATCTGAACAGCAGCCTAGAGCCTCAGCTCTTTCCTCTGACATAGAAAACCCAAATGAGAAGGAACCAAAAAAACAATTTTGGTAACATAACAAAGGAAAAATTTTTTAACACCTTGGAAAGACCACACTAGCTCCCTAGCAATGGATGCAAACCAAGAAGAAATCTCTGAATTGCAGAAAAAAGAATTCATAAGGTCCATTATTAAGCCACTTAAAGAGGCACTGGAGAAAGATAAATACTAACTGAAAGAATTTTTTTTTTAAAATACAGGATATGGGTGAAAAAAATTACCAGAGAAATAGATAGCATAAATAAAAAAAAATCACAACTTCTGGAAATGAAAGGCACACTTAGAGAAATGCAAAACATAGTAGAAAATTACAAAAATAGATCCAAACAAGTAAAAGAAAGAACTTCAGAGCTCAAAGACAAGGCTTTTGAATTAACCCAATCTAATGAAGACAAAAAAGAATTTAAAAAATGAACCAAACCTCCAAGAAGCTTGGAATTATGTAAAAAACCAAACCTAAGAATAATTGGTGTCCCCAGGGAAGAAGTGAAATCTAAAAGTTTGGAAAACTTATTTGAGGAAATAACTGAGAAAAACTTTCCTGGCCTTACTAGAGATCTAGACATCCAAATACAAGAAGTTCAAAGAACTCCAAGGAAATTCATCACAAGAAGATCATCACCTAGGCACACAGTCATCAGGTTATCTGAAGTCAATATACAGGAAAGATTTTTAAGAGCTGTGAGAAAAAAGCATCAGGTAACCTATAAAGAAAAACATATCAGATTACCAGCAGATTTCTCAACAGAATCCCTACAAGCTAGAAGGGATTGGGGTCCTATGTTTAGCCTCCTTAAACAAGACAAGCATCAGCCCAAATTTTGTATTCAGTGAAAATAAGCTTCATAAATGAAGAAAGATACGGTCTTTTCCAGACAAACAAATGCTTAGAGAATTCACCACTACCAAGCCACCACTGTAAGAACTGCTAAAAAGTGTTCTAAATCTTGAAACAAAACCTCAAAATACACTGAAATAGAACCTCCTTAAGGCATAAATCTCACAAGGCCTATAAAACAATAACACAATATAAGAGGTATTCAGGAAACTACTGGCACAATGAATAGAACAGTCCTTCACACCTCAATACTAATGTTGAATGTAAATGGCCTAAATGCTCCACTTAAAACATACACAATAGCAGAATAGATAAGAGTTTACCAATAAAATATCTGCTGTCTTCCAGAGACTCACCCAACACATAAGGACTAACATAAACTTAAGGTAAAGGATTGGAAAAAGATATTCCATGTAAACGTACCCTGATACCCTGAAAGCAAGCAGTAGTAGCCATTCTTACATCAGACAAACAAGCTTTAAAGCAAAAACAGGTAAAAAATAAAAAACACAAAGAGGGACATTATATAATGATAAAAAAGGACTAGTCCAATAGGAAAATATCATAATCCTAAATATATATGCACCTAACATTGGAGCTCCCAAATTCATGAAACAATTACTACTAGATCTAAGAAAAGGGATAAATGGCAACACAATAATAATGGGGAACTTCAATACTCTACTGACAGCACTAGACAAGTCATCAAGACAAAGTCAACAATAACAACAAAAAAGGGAATGGACTTAAACTATAACCTAGAACAAATGGACTTGACAAATATTTACAGAACATTCCACACAACAACTGCAGAATATACATTTTATTCATCAGCACATGGAACATTCTCCAAGATAGACACATGATAGGTCACAAAACAAGTCGCAATAAATTTAAGACAATCAAAATTATATCAACTACTCTCTCAGACTGCAGTGGAATAAAATTCAAAATCAACTCTAAATGAACCATCAAAACAATGCAAATACATGGAAATTAAATAAATTGTAGAAATTAAATAAATACATGGAAATTAAATAAATAATTAAATTTAAGATCAACCTGGTTCTGAATGATCTTTGGATGAAATCAAGATTTAAATTTAAAAATTCTTTGAACTGAACAATAATAATGGCACAACCTATCAAAACGTCTGGGATACAGCAGAAGTGGTGCTGAAAGGAAAGTTCATAGCATCAAGTTCTTCCATCAAAAAGTCTGAAAGAGCATAGGTTGACAATGTAAGATAACACCTCAAGGAACTAGAGGCACAAGAACAAGCCAAGCCCAAACCCAGCAGTAGAAAAGAAATATCAAAGATCAGAGCAGAACTAAATGAAACTGAAACAACAACAACAACGAAAATCCAAATGATAAATGAAATGAAAAGCTGGCTCTTAGAAAAGATAAACAAAATTGATAGACCATTAACAGCATTAACCAAGAAGAGAGAAGATCCAAATAAGCTCAATTAGAAATGAAACAGAAGATATTGCAACCGCTGCCACAGAAATACAAAAGATCATTTAGGGATACTGTGAACACCTTTATGTGCACAAATTAGAAAATGTAAAGGAGATGAATAAATTCCTGCAAATGTACAATCCTCCTAGATTAAAAAAAAAACAACTCTGAACAGACTAATAACAAGAAGCAAGATTGAAATAATAATTTAAAAAATTGCCAACCAAAAAAAAAATGTTCAGAACCAGGTGGATTCACAGCTGAATTCTACTAGCCTTTCAAAGAAAAATTGGTGGGGGTAAGGGAGGAGACCACCCCTCATATTGTCTTATGCCCAATTTCTGCCTCCAAAGAAAGAAAAAGTAAAAACTAAAAGGCAGAAATGAAATCCACAAGCAGACAGCCCAGCGCCACACCCTGGGCCTGGTAGTTAAAGATCGACCCCTGACCTAATTGGTTATGTTATCCATACATTACAGACATTGTATAGAAAAGCACTGTGAAAATCCCTATCCTGTTATGTTCCATTCTAATTACCAGTGTATGCAGCCCCCAGTCATGTACCCCCTGCTTGCTCAATCGATCATGACCCTCTCACGCAGACCCCCTTAGAGTTGTGAGCCCTTAAAAGGGACTAGAATTGCTCACTCGGGGAGCTCAGCTCTTGAGACAGGAGTCTTACCGATGTCCCCAGCCGAATAAACCCCTTCCTTCTTTAATTTGGTGTCTGAGGAGTTTTGTCTGTGGCTCATCCTGCTACAGGGGCAGGGCCAAGATGGCTGATTAGAAGCGGCATCCCATAGAAAAGAACCATAACAGTGTGTGAATGCTGTACCATAACCTGAGGTATCCATGTTCTTTCATCAGAACTGACTAGGTGGCTGGCGTGATCCATGGAGAGGAAGGAAGAGCAGTGTGGTGTGGCAGCCCACCTGACACCCACATGGGCCTGGGGAGCCCCCACCCCACAGCCAAGGGATGCAGTGAGTGAGCATGCTACCCAGCCTGGGAAACTGCTTTTTCCATGGAACTATGCAACCCACGGATTAGAAGATTCCACTCATGAACCCACACCACTGGAACCTAAGGTCCCAACTGTTGGAAGCAAGAGCTCAGAGTCGCAAAGAACATGGGCACTGAAACAAGGAATTTCTCAGCAAGGCAAGGCACATTTACTTCTGCAGAAGGGTGCCAGTCATGTCTCTGGCTGTTTTGAGAGCACAGCATACAAGAGAGGGAAGGAGTTTTTATCCCTAACACAGTCCCTACTTCTGTGTGCTGCCCCCATTGGCTGGAGTCAGACCACACAATCTAAGCTAACTCGATGGCTATTTTAAATCGAGACTGGCAGGAAGGTTGTTTACAGAGCAGGTAACTAGGAGTGAGGAGGACTTCTTCCAAATAAGGAAGAGATGTGGGTTACGGATTGCGACTGGGGAGAAGAGATGTTTACAGAGCAGGTAGCTAGGAGCGGGAAGGTATAAGGAAGTTGATTTTGAGAACAAACAACAAGGAAGTTACCCTTTGAAGAGGAACTTATTATGCCTGACACAACCCTGGAGCTGAGCAGATTATGAACAGCCTGTCAGGTAGAATCTGCTTAAGCCTGCCGAGTTCCCACGGTGGGGGAGACCAGCACCACCGTTGCAGTTGGCTGCTGTCTAAGCTGTTTGAGCTCCTTGAGGGAGGGACAGCAGCCAGCACTGGGACTCGAAACTGCCTAACAGGCTAAGATCCCTGGATGGGGAAAGGGAAGCAGCCATCTCTATAGCTCCTGGCCTCACTTTTCCTCTGCTAGATCCAGGAAAACTGGACAGCTTGGTCTCAAGAGGTGTCCCCCACAGCCCAACACATGGGCTGTGGCAGACTGTGGCCAGAATGTCTCTTCAGGCCTGACGCTGACCCATCTCTCCTCACTGGTCAGGGCCTCCCTGCAGGAACTCCAACATCTCCAGCCAGGGGCTCAGGGACATAACTCTGATCTCCCTGGGCCTGAGCCCCTAGGGGGAGGGGTGGCTGCAGTCTCTGTGGACCAGCAGACTTAGCCTTTCCTCCTGCTAGTTCTGAGGAATTTGAGCAGCCCAGATGAGTGGGTTTCCCCCCAGCAAAACACCCCCCTCCACCAAGGAACAGTCAAAGTGCTTCATTAAATGGGTTCTGCTCCCCATGCCACCCAACTGGTGACACTTCAACAGGGGTTGTCAGACACCCTATACAGGAGCCATCTTAATGGCATCAGGTTGGTGCCTCTTGAGATCAGAGATCACAGAGGAAGGAGCAGACTCTGCTTTTCTCCAACCTCCTTGAGTGACATCTCCAGGCATGGGAGTGAACCAGATTAATAGGGCCTGAAGTGAACCCCCCTCAAACTGCAGAAGCCCTACAGAAGATGTACCTGACCATTGAAAGAAAAACAAACAAACAGAAAGGAACAACAGCATCAACAACAAAAAAGTACCCACAAAAACCTCATCCAAGGCCAGGCATGGTGGCTCACACCTGTAAAAAGGTTAACGTGTTTTTGTGATTGGCTATTGTTTTTCAGTAACTAACGTATAGGAATAGATTGAAACAGAAATTTCTCTGAAACAGCGCCGGATGAATGCCTAAAGGGGCTCACACAACCTGCTCTGAGACTTGGTGACCATTATTTTTGTCCACGTTCAATTGAGTTCAAATTTAATATTTAACTTTTCCAGTACATTCGGCCTCAATTGGATATTCAATTGTATTAAAATACCCTTACGGATACATCGGGAAGGCATAGTTGATATATATTACAGATACAGGGTAAGCACAGGAGAATTAAAGGCACAATTAATAAAAATTAAACCCCACATGGCGTTGCAAGCAGAGTAATATTGTGAGACTTGCCAGGAATATACACACAACATTTAGTATGCAGTAAGGCGCAAACCCCTCCTTGGGCTGTGGTAAGCATATCTAATGCCATTTGATTTTGCAACACAACAATACGCAGCTGAGCAAATTCATCTGATAACAACATAAGCCCAGTGCTACTATCATTAAGAGCTTTTTCTACATGTAAGCTAAATATTATAATTTGTTGGTGAAGCAAGATTGTACCAGTGGCAGGGGAGAATACTGTGATAGGGTACCACCACCAGGGAGTCCAGCACATTTGTAACCAGCGATGTTTGTAAGCATCTAGATTACTGGGGAGGGGAATATTATCCTGGATGGTGAATAGAATTAATGGTCACCCCCAAGTGCATCTCCCCATCCAAAGTGGGGGCAGTATCACCACCGATAGGATCTGCATACCCAGAGGGCCCCCCAGGGGACAGCAATGGAGCTACTGTAATCATAGTGTACTAATCTCTTATTAAAATAGGAAAGAGATTGTTGTTCATTGGGTGCAATGTTGTTGATTTGGAGTATGTGTTGACAATTGAGTGGAGAAACCCCAGAGTAACATTAGAGGAGCCATTTAAGGCCTCTAGACAAAGCAGGGGCTATATGGAATCCAGCCACCAGCACAGAAGGTTCGTAGTATATACCATTCCAGGAACATTGGGCAGAATACCAAGGCTTTCAATGCAAGGTGAGGGTGGAGTTCATCTTTTGTCTGACTTGGCAAAGATTGATTTTTTAGTGTGGTCAAATGAAGTCCAGGTTGGATTGCAAGTGCTGTTGTTGCAGCCCCATTGGTAACAACATAGCCATTCAGAAATGTTGTCAGGGATGATTCTCCAAGGTAGACCATTTTTGGCGGCCTCTAGCAACTCCACGTATAGCCAACATTGATTGCAGTTGGCTTCTGTTGCAGCAGTGGCTAAAAAGTTGATGAATTTATTCTTGGCCTCAGACACAAAGACACAGGTGCTGACCATTAGTAGATAGGTTATTCCCTGTAATAACAAAAACAGAGGGGAACATCATATTGTTTTTCATCTTTAGGAAATTGTACTATGCCTTCATTTTCTGCTTTCATAGCTACAAGGTCACCAGCCTTAGGGTTGGGATCTGATGGACGCTGTACCCATATTTTGGCTCCAGGATTTAAGCTTCCTGTACCAGGGGATCTGAATCCCCAAGTTCTGTATGTAGCCTCTGTTGGGCAAAGATTTCCTCAGGGGTTAATTGTGGACAAGGTACCACTAACAATTGAGCAACCAGCATCTGTGGTTTTATAGCAAAAGAATCTGGAGAGGTATTGTATAAAATGTCCTTTAACTCTCCCCGGTAATCACTATCAATTATTCCACCATACATTATTATGCTTCTCATTGCAAGGCTTGAACATGTTGTAATCCATTTACCCACATTCAAGATCACAGTTATGGTGGAAATTTTTGCCTGTTGATCTTCCTGCTGATTAAATAGTCTGTCAAGAGGAAGCAGAGACACACTAGCATCAACATGGAAAACAGGGCCAGGCACAGTGACTCACACCTGTAATCCCAGCATTTTGGGAGGCTGAGGTGGGCAGATCACAAGGTCAAGAGATTGGGACCATCCTGGCCAACATGGCAAAACCCCGTCTCTAAAATTACAAAAATAAACTGAGCATGGTGGCTCATACCTCTAATCCCAGCACTTTGGGAGGCCAAGGCCTGCTGATCAGGAGGTCAAGAGATGGAGACCATCCTGTTTAACATGGTGAAACCTCATCTCTACTAAAAATACAAAAATTAGCTGGGTATGGTGGTGTGTGCCTGTAGTCCCAGCTACTCGGGAGGCTGAGGCAGGAGAATTGCTTGAACCTGGGACATGAAGGTTGTGGTGAACCCAGATTGTGCCACTGCACTCCAGCCTAATGAAAGAGTGAGACTGCATCTAAAAAATGAATAAATAAAAAATAATACAAAATTAGCTGGGCGTGGCAGCCTGTGCCTGTAATCCAAGCTACTTGGGAGGCAGAGGCCAGAAGAATCACTTGAACCGTGGAGATGGAGGTGGCAGTGAGCTGAGATTGCACCACTGCACTTCAATTTGGTGACAGGGCTGGATTCCATCTCAAAAACAAAAAACAACAACAAAAAAACATGGAACACAGTGACGATGGGAGTATGCACCAGGATTCAGATACCTTACCAATATTGTTTTCCCCAAACCTCTTTATTCCGCATTAACCATTTGTTTCATTGCCACTTGGGCACCCAGGTAGTAAGACCATTTGCTACTGACAAAGAGTTGATATAAAAGTAACAAATCCCTCTGGCCTCCTCCTGAATAGCTCGGAGAAACGACTACTAGTTCAGCTAACTGGCTGCTCCCACCCCTTCCTTCATCAGAAATGCTTATGTTTTTAACAGGATTATAAGCCACAGCCCTCCAGCATTGGGTCCCACCAAAGTATTTGGTGGATCCATCAGTAAACCAAGCATGTTTCTGATCCTCTGGGCTTAGTTCTTTAAAGGATTTGCCCCATTTGATGTGTGTGTGTGGGGGGTGTTTCTTTCCCTATCTGCAGGACTTGCTTGGTTGTTTCCTGAGCTCGCAGGTTTTCCACATCCTCATGTAAAAGTGATAGCCCCTATGATTTTGGCTTAGCCTGGTTTTGTATGTCCCATTTCCATTTTATGATGCTACTTTCTGGGCATGCCCTATCTGGTGGGTTTTGGGGGAACTCATGACCAAAGTCATAATAGAAATTTCAGGCCTCATAAAGACATCGTGGTTGAAGCAGAGGTGTTCCATTTCCAGCAAAGCTCAATAGCAAGCTAACAATTGCTTCTCAAAAGAGGAATAAGCTTTTCCAGCCTCTGGCAGTTTCTGGGTCCAAAACATGAAAAGTACCCTCTTTCCATCTTGTTTCTGCCTAAGGCTCCAATTAGCATGTTGATCTACGACAGTTACTCGCAGTTCATCAGGCCCATCCCATATAGGCCATAGATCCAGGGCCAGTTGCACTGCTTGTTTAGCTTGTTCAAAAGCCATGCTGTCTTTCTCTCCACAGTGAGAGTCATACCTTTTTCTAGTGGCTGCATTCAGATGTTGTAAAATGTTACCCAAGTAAGGAATATGATGTGTTCAGAATCCAAACAAGTCAATACATTTCTGGGCCTCCTTCTTAGTGGTAGGGGTTGCAAATTATAGTATTTTAGCCTTAGCCTTTGGTGAAGTGGACTGTTTCTTTGCATTCCATAGGATGCCAAAGAATTTTACACTTTGTGCGGATCCTTAATTTTACTAGGCTTAATTTCCCATTTTTGAGATAGGAACTGGGTTTTTACATGCTCTAAGCCCCGGCTGACTAGTTCTTCAGTTTTACCCTGATTGGGCCACCTGGACAGCTGCTTTTTTCAGCAATAGGCTGATAGCTTTGAGCCTGATCAGTCAAGACATTGACTGGCATTGGGCCAGGGCCAGTCCGGAAGTCAGATTAGCATTTTCCTTTTCCAGCTTATATTTCTCTTGTAGCAACCAGCCCCTATCTTGACACATTAACTTATAAGCAGCAATCAAACACTATCCACTTTGTGAGATTCCCTCAGCATCTCCTTTGGTGACTGGAATCCCCTGCAGCACTTCACGCACAGTCAAAGGTTTAAATTGCACTAATTTAGATTCCCAATTCCCACAAAGGCCAGTTCCCCTGAACCATTCAATCACAAAGAAGGAGAACTGGGAGTGATCCCATCTCAGGATATGGGAAATCCTTGAGCCTCCAGCCCTATCCTTCTGGTCAAAAAGGGGCCCACTTTTGTTTTCAAATCCTGTTTGTGATGCCAAAAATGTTCTGTATGGGAAACGTGGGAGAGGAGAAGAAAAGACATACATACAATAACTTTAATGGTAAACAAGCTTTAACCCACATCAATATCAATGCAGACAGAATAAACTAATGATATAATAAGCAAATGATATAATAAGCAAATAAATATAATACACAGATTGATATAATAAGCAAATTGCAGTAAGAAGAGGAGATGGGAAAAGATATATATATATATTTACCCTCACTAGACTATGGAGGATTACCAACTGAGTAGGAAGAAACAGCCCAGGCTCCAGAGTCGGCCACCCATTCATGCACAGACAAGGAGTCTCATGAAGCTTCAGGGTGGTCTGGGACCCTAGCTCTTTTGTAACGAGTTGTTTGGCATAAGGCCCAGTGAGGAGGGCCATTTGGGACTTGCCTCACGGAACACAAAAGGGTCAAGTTGTTTTTGTGATTGTCTATTGTTTTTCAACAACTAATGTATAGTAATAGAATGAAATAGACATTTCTTTGATACAGCTCTGGATGAACACCTCAGGGGCTCACAACCAGGACCTGTTCTGGGACTTGGTGACCATTGTGTCCACGTTCAATTGAGTTCAAATTTAACATTTAACTTTTCCTCCATAAATTCTCCTGTCTTCATGAATTGGCTCTGTCTAGGCAAAGGGCAAAATGAACCCCTTGGGCTGTTACATAACCTCCACCTCCTGGGTTCAAGTGATTCTCCTGCCTCAGCCTCCGGAGTAGCTGGGACCACAGATGTGCACCACCATACCCAGCTAATTTTTTACATTGTGAGTAGAGATGGGGTTTCACCATGTTGGCCAGGCTAGTCTTGAACTCCTGACCTCAAGTGATCCACCCACCTTGGCCTCCCAAAGTGTTGGGATTACTGGCATGAGCTACCTGTGCCTGACCCTAAATTATTTCTATCTCTTATAGCAGTTTGAAATTACTTAAAGGTTGTTTCAAGTTGAAAAAATAAGAAGAATGTGGATAAAAATAAAATATAAATAGATAAAAAAATTACAGGGATTACAAAATATATATGTAAATCTGGAGTGGTCAAAAATGACAAATTTGATTTATTTATAAGGTTTTATTAAAATTAGCTTTAATCGTTAATACACTATTACCAAAGTAAAAGCTGATTTTCTCTTGAACAAAAATTTTATGTATTATTAATATGACAGCAAAATACTTCTGTTCACCTTTGAATACATTCAACAAGACAGAGAGTAAAAAAGAGATAAAATGTTCCCATGCTCTGGCATGGACCAGGCTCAGCTCTGGGAGGAAGCCCTGCCTGAAAAGGCTGCAGCTTAGGCTGTCACTCTTTTCTTCACTCCGCCCAGCAGCTGATCACATCTTCTGTCACTCAGTGTCTGAGGGGGCGGGACCTTAAGCATTAGCCAATCAGAGGCGCTGGGCTGGAAACCGTCCAATCAGGCACGCAGCTGGAATGAACAGGACGGCTTCCGGATTTGGCGGGGTCTTTGTCTCTCCCTGCAGCTGGAGCTCCAGGTCGTCTGTTCACTGCTCTCTGTCTTCTTCTCCTAGAGGCCCAGCCTCTGTGGCCCTGTGTCCTGCAGGTATTGGGAGATCCACAGCTAAGACGCCAGGACCCCCTGGAAGCCTAGAAATGGTGAGAGTGCCGGTCCAGCATCCCGAGAGAGGTGAAGTGTCTGTGGCGGGACTCAGGCCTCCCCTCAGTCAGCTCCACAATCTGCACCCCGAATTCTCCTTACCCAGCTCTGCCTCAGTCCCATTCAGCCATAAGATGGCGGCTACGCTGACAGCCTGGCCCCCGGGCGTCCTGTCGCTTCCCCGCGCAGTGACTGTGCCCCTGGCCTGGAGCGCTCTGTGGGCAGCTCTGCACCCGCAGTGCCGTGTCTCTCCCAGATTGTGCAGGGACCACCGGAGGGTCTTCAGGGGAGAATGCTGACTCGCGGTGCGGGTTCATGAATGGGAAGAGCTTTGGTCTGTGGGGTTCACAGTTTCTCTTTTCTGCTATTAAAATTGTATGGGGCCGGGCGCGGTCGTTCAAGCCTGTAATCCCCGCACGTTGGGAGGCCGAGGCGGGCGGATCACTTGAGGTCAGGAGTTGAAGACCAGACTGACCAAAATGGGGAAACCCCTTGTCTACTAAAAATACAAAAATTAGGTGGATATGTTGGCGAATGTCTGTAGTCCCAGCTTCTCGGGAGGCAGAAGTGAGAGAATCGCTTGAACCCGGGAGGCGGAGGTTGCAGTGAGCTGAAATCCTGCCACTGCACTCCAGCCTGGGCGACAGAGCAAGACTCTTGTCTAAAAAAAAAAAAAAAAAAAAAAAATTATGGGAGTCACTGCAAAAATATCAAACAATTTAATCAAAGAGTGATTCAAGAATTGTAGAGCACCCAGCTATAGTTTGTAGTTTGTGGTCCATGGGAGAGGCTTGAAGAAAAGACATTTATAAAATGCATGATGAGGAAAACCAAATTCAATAATTTGTTAGGTTTAGTAATGTAGTTTCTTAATTTGTACAATCAAGGTGGAAATTTCCTGGTTATGTAATTAGAGCTTAATTGGCAGTTTATAGTTGCTGAAGCCTGAATTTTGTTTCCCCTAATGTAGTAATTTGCCAAAAAATGCACTTGAGCTTAGATTTTTTTTTTTTTTTTTTTTTAGAAATAGAAATCCGGGGACTAGAGCCTCTTCAGTCTAATTGCCTGCCACTTAATTATTTTCACATCCCACAGGGGACTGACTTTCCCTGGCATTTTTCACATGTGTCCCAAGCAGGGCCTCAAGTGTCCCCCATGTTCCTCAATTAATTATTATTATTATTATTATTTTTTGAGACGGAGTCTTGCTCTGTCGCCAGGCTAGAGTGCAGTGTCAGATCTTGGCTCACTGCAACCTCCACCTCATGGGTTCAAGCGATTCTCCTGCTTCAGCCTCTCCAGTAGTTGGGACTACAGGCAAGCGCCACCACTCCCAGCTAGTTTTCATATTTTTAGTAGAGATGAGGTTTCACCATGTTTGCCAGGAATGCTAGTTACCAAGGAAAAATATAGGGAAAATCTCTCTTCCATTTTGGCTGTAGACAATGAATATATTTCCACAGGAAAATGTGGTAGATAATTGAGGAGTTACATGGATTCATCAACACATTAGTTCCTCTTTTTGCAGGGTAAATTTTTTCTATATCCTTTTATTTTGATTTCTGAGTTAAATGCTAAATTTTAAGTGATGAAACATGGTACCTTCTAGAAGTGTTCCCATATGACTAATTTTTTACTACATTATTTTATTTATTTACTTATTTTTTTGAAACAGAGTCTCACTCCGTCACCAGGTTGGAGTGCAGTGGCGTGATCTCGGCTCACGCAACCTCTGCCTCCCAGGTTCAAGCAGTTCTCCTGCCTCAGCCTCCCAAGTAGCTGGGATTACAGGTGTGTGTCACCACGTCCAGCCAATTTTTTTGTGTTTTTAGTAGAGACAGGGTTTCACCATGTTGGCCAAAATGTTCTCAATCTTCTGACCTCGTGATCTACCCACCTTGGCCTTCCAAAGTGTTGGGATTAGAGGCGTGAGCCACAGTGCCCGGCCTACTGCATTATTTTTAAGATAAATAATAAAATAATACATACATTGTCTGAAAGAAGTAGATATATATGCTTTTCTTATAGGGGTATAAAATGCAAGCATCTTAGCCAGGTGCAGTGGCTCATGCCTGTAGTTTCAGCACTTTGGGAGGCCTAGACAGGTTGATTACTTGAGGTCAGGAATTTGAGACCAGCCTGCCCAACATGGTGAAACTCATCTCTACTAAAAATACAAAAGTTAGCCAGGTGTGGTGGCATATGCCTGTATTCCCAGCTACTTGGGAGGCTGAGGAACAAGAATGTCTTGAACCCGGGAGGTGGAGGTTGCAGTGAGCCGAGATCATGCCACTGAACTCCAGCCTGGGCCACAGAGTGAGACTTCGTCTCAAAAAAAAAAAAAAAAAAGTAAGAACCTTAAAATTTCCTTCCCTTATGTAAACACTGCGTTTGAGTAATTTCCCTGGATTTTTCAAACACATAGTTTCAAAAACTAAGTGAGTAATTCTGACATGGAAATTAAAGCTTGAACCTAGTGACTCCAAGCTAAGGCTAATAATTAAGCCTGCAACTGGATATTGAAGACTCAGTTAGTTTTTTCTGGGGAGCCTCCCGTGCAGGTGTCCAGCCTGCTCACCCCAGCCATAGAAGGAGCCTTTATCCTGAGAGAAGCTACAGAGCCCTGGAAAGCTGGGGTCCCACAGGCAGATGCAGTTGAGGTTAAGATGAAAGGAAACTGAGAGGGTCTTACTGATGATGCAGTCGTTATGTTTTGTGGCACTTTCTGTACTTTGTAAAATAAAAACATTAGATTTATGTAAAAAAAAAATGAATTCCAAAAAATTATTGCAACAGGAGAAAGTACCAACTAAATATAAGATCTTTATGGCTTGCAAAGATGTAGGCAGAAAAGGGCTTTCTTTTTTAGGGAGAGGTAAACAAGATAAGAAAGGAGGTGGGAGGTGAATGGCAAATGGAGAGTGAAAAAGTCAGATTTTAGATCAGAGGATGTCTTACCCTGAAATCAGCATGTTCTTAGGAGGAATGTAAAATGGGGTTGTATGTTGACTCAGACTGAGGGTAGCTCAAAGTTCAGGAGCCTGAGGGAGGGAAATAAACTTAAGAAAAGTATGATTAAGAAATATTTTATTTTAGTCCGGGCCCAGTGGCTCATGCCTGTGATCTCAACACTTTGGGAGTCTGAGGCAGTCGGATCACCTGAGGACAGGTGTTTGAGACCAGCCTGGCCAACATGATGAAATCCTGTCTCTACTAAAAATACAAAAATTACTGGAAGGCTGAGGTGGGCGGATCACCTGAGGTTGGGAGTTTAAGACCAGCCTGACCAACATGGAGAAATCCCATCACTACAAAAAAAAAAAAAAAATCAACAGGTGTGGTGGTGCATGCCTGTAATCCCATCTACTCGGGAGGCTGAGGCAGGAGAATCGCTTGAACTCGGGAGGTAAATGTTGTACTGAGCTGAGATTGCACCAGTGCACTCCAGCCTGGGCAACGAGAGTGAAACTCTGTCTCAAAAAAAAAAAAAAAACACCAAAACAACAAAAATTCGCCAGGTGTGGTGATGGGCACCTGTAATCCCAGCTACTTGGGAGGCTGAGGCAGGATAATTGCTTGAACCCAGGAGGTGGAGGTTGCTGTTAGCCAAGATCGCATCACTGCACTCCAGCCTGGGTGACAAAGTGAAGAAATTATTTTGAGCACTGAAGACAAATTCAGCTGTTTTTTTAATGAGAAAAAGGAGAAAATGTGCAGAGCGTGTGTCTGCCTGTGTGATAGGTAAGAAAAGAGAGCACTATCTTAGTCATAATGGGAAGAGTGTTTGTTTGCATAAATTGTTCCTGGAGCACACAAAGAATGGAGAATTTTATTAATCACAAACATTTTCCAGTATTATCTATGTGTTTCATCTTTCCCCATTTCTTTTCTTTGTTCTATGCATTTCTCCCATTTGGCTTTTCCTGGGCTGCGTCTCACATATTAAACTGGTAAACATAACTACAGTGTTTTGCTAAGTTCTGTGAGTAGCTCTACCAGATTATTAAAATTCAGAGAGGTTATGGGACTAACAAGTTTTTAAACAGTAGCTCAGAAGCATAGATGGGCCCATGGGGTTTTTGACTGGCATCTGCAGTGAGGACAGTGTTGTAGGACCAAGCCCTGAATCAGGGTCTGTGTTGACTCTGGGTGGTGTCAGAATTCAAATGTTAGACAATAAGTTGGTGTTGGAGAATTGTTTAATGTTCAGCTAACTCTACAGATTTGGTGCCAGAAAAAAGATATCACAGAGGCCTGGCCTGGAATAAAACTAGGTGTTTGGGAATGGGAGCTCTGCTTTCCCATACACAGGCTGTCACACTGCCCATTGTCCTGTGATTCAGGTCTTCTCCCAGGGTGACAGAGGACTGAAAACTTAGAGGACAGGAGCTCTGATTACAGACCCCCTTTTCCCACAGCTGCCACCACAAGATTCCCACCCACTCACAAACACACACACTAGACATTGACACGTCCACACTCCTCCCAGGACTAGGCACCACCCTCAGAAACTTCACCACAGCATTTTTGACCCTAGTGTTTCTTGCCAAGAACCCACAAGTCTCTGCAAGTCTCCTGGCATATCCCCATCCACAGATGCTAAATCTGCAGCAGCAACCAGTTTTCTCCACCAACCTACCATTTTGGATCAGCTGTTCATAATCTCATCTGCCTGCACACAGTAATAAATCAGAGTATGGCTGCATTGGGACCACTATCTGCAGCAAAAATCAGTCCTCTCACCTGCATTGCACTCTCTCCTGCCCAGGGATTTAATTTTTTATTTTAGCTTTTATTTTTGATTCGGGGTACACGTGGGTTTCTTTTACAGGTAAAATTATGTCATGGGGGTTTTGTGTGCAGATTATTTTGTTAACTTACGTACTAAGCATAGCACCAAACAGGTATGTTTTCTGATCCTCTGAGTTCTCCCACCCTCCACCCTCAACTAGGCCTCAGTGTCTGTTGTTCTCCTCTTTGTGTTCGTGTGTTCTTATTATTTAGCTCTTACTTATAAATGATAGTACATTCATTTGGTTTTCTGTTTCTGCATTATTTTATCTTTTTTTTTTTTGGAGACGGAGTTTTACTCTTGTTGCCCAGGCTGGAGTGCAATGGTGTGATGTAGGCTCACCTCAACTTCCACCTCCCGGTTCAAGTGATTCTCCTGCCTCAGCCTCATGAGTAGCTGGGATTACAGGTGCATTCCACCATGCCCAGCTAATTTTGTATTTTTAATAGAGATGGAGTTTCTCCATGTTGGGCAGGCTGGTCTCCAACTCCTAACCTCAAGTGATCAACCCACCTCGGCCTCCCAAAGCGCTGGGATTACAGGTGTGAGCACTGCGCCAGGCCTCTGCATTTGTTTTCTAAGAAAAATAGTGTCCAGCTTCATTGATGTTATTGCAAAGGACGTGATTTTTTTTTAATGGCCACAGAGTATTCCATGATGTTTACGTACCATATTTTGTTTTGACTAAATCTTTTATTTTATTTTATAGTTGGAGACAGAGTCTCACTTATTGCCCAGGCCAGAGTGCCATGGCGTGATATTGGCTTACTTTAACCTCAACCTCCCAGGCTAAAGCAATTCTCTCCTACCTCATCTTCCCAAGAAGCTAGGACTACACCTGGGCGTTACCACACCTGGCCAAATTTTCTTTTTGTATTTTCCGTGGAGACAGGATTTTGCCATGTTGCCCAGGCTGTTCTCAAACTTCTAAGTTCAGGCAGTTCACCTGCCTTGGCCTCCCAAAGTGCTGGAATTACAGGCATGGGCCACCGCTTCTGACCATACCATATTTTCTTTACCCAGTCTACCATTGATAGGCATTTAGGGCCTGTCCTTGTCTTTGCTATTGTGAATAGTGCTGCAGTGAACATGCATGTGGATGTGTCTTTATAATATAATAATTTATATTTCCTTGGGTATATACCCAATTTTGAGATTTCTGGGTCAAATGATAATTCTGTTATTAGTTCTGTGAGGAACCGCCACACTGCTTTTTACAATTGTTAAACTAATTTACACTCCCACCAGAAGAGTATAAGCATTCTGTTTTCTCTGCAACCTTGCCAGCATCTGTTATTTTTTGACTTTTTAAAAATAGCCATTCTGACTGGTGTGAGGTGGTATCTCATTGTGGTTTTTCTTTTAATTTCTCTAGTGATTAGTAATGAGCATTTTTTTCATATGCTTGTTAGCCACATGTATATCTTCTTTTGAAAAGAATCTGTGTTTTTGCCTACAATTTAATGAAGTTGTTTGGTTTTTTCTTTTAAACTTGTATAAGTTTTTAATAAATTCTGGATATTAGACCTTTGTCAGAGGCAAAGTTTGCAAATATTTTCTTTCATTCTGTAGGTTGTCTTTTTCCTCTGTTGATAGTTTCCTTTGCTGTGAAGAAGTTCCATTTGTCAATTTTTGCTTTTGTTGCAATTGCTTTTGGTAGCTTCATCATGAAGTCTTTGCCAGTTTCTGTGTCTAGAATGGTGTTTCTTAGGTTATCGTGCAGATTTTCTTATAATTTTAAGTTTACATTTAAGTGTTTAATTTATCTTGAGTTGATTTTTGTATATGGTGTAATGAAGGGATCTAGTTTCAGTCTTCTACATAGTGCTAGGTAGTTATTTTAGCACCATTTGTTAAATAGAGAATTCTTGCTGCATTCCTCTTGTCAGCTTTGTCAAAAATCTGATGGTTATAGGAGGGTGGCATTATTTCTGGGCTCTCTATTCTGTTGCATTGGTCTTGTGCACTCGTGGATTTTTTATAACATCTTTCTCTCTTCTCCTTTTTCCCCATAAACATTCTTTGAAGTGCATACAGTGTGAAAAATTCAGATGTCCAAGAGTTCAAAACTATTTAAAAAGTTCCAAAACAAATTTTGCTATTCTGTCTGTTCTTAAGGGATTTAGATTATATGTAGATATTTTTCTCTGCTTTTTTGAAATATATGTAAATCATATTAACAGCTAAATAAACCTTTTTCATTTTTTATGACTCCAGATTATCTTTATCTGGTACTTCAGATTTATTGCTTTGTTTTTGCTTCTGAAAAGTTTATTTTTTTCATTTTTAGTCCTTTAAGGTAGACACAGATTTGTTTAGTTAAAACTCATTTAAGAGCACACAGAAGCATAGCACAAAGATAAAATTAAATTTAGCAATACAGAATGATAAAGACTAAAAGATACTAAGTTTCTTTGACAGAAACCTGATTATCCAAGGTAATTATCCAATATTTGCAGGCTGAAGTACTAATACTGCAAATGCAAGAACAGTTCAATGCATGAACTCAACAGTGGAATCTGTAGTTGTACCTTGTTTTCTATTTATTACTTCAGAACAATTAGCATAGTTATGTTTAGTGTTTGTAGACAAACTGCATTCATATAAATTAAACAGTGTTTCCTCTTTTTTGAGACAGACTCTCACTCTGTTTCCCAGGCTGGAGTGCAGTGGCGTGATCTCAGCTGACTGCAACTGCTGCCTCCCAGATTCAAGTGATTCTCCTGCCTCAGCCTCCTGAGTAGCTGGGATTACAAGTGCACACCACCATGCCTGGCTAAGTTTTTGTATTTTTAGTAAAGATAGGGTCTCACCATGTTGTCCAGCTTGATCTTGAACTCCTGACCTCAAGTGATCTACCCATCTCAGCCTCAAGTTGCTGGGATTACAGGGGTGAGCCATAAGCAGTATTTTCTACAATATTATGAATATAAAGCCACAATACTTACTTTGAATCACTTAAATGGTTATTTTAATATTGTAATTTATACTTTTGAAATATAAAGTGTTTTAACTGAAGTATAGTTACAGTTTTTAAAAATGGTACATATACTATGACGTTCATTAAAATTATTCATACTTAGATATTTATATCTAATAGCCAGAGAAAATTTACTACCAAATTATTACAGTAGATATTTGTCTGACATATTTATTACTTTATTCAATAGGAATAACAATGAGTAAACACAATTTAGGTATCTTTTATTTCACTAAATTGGTATGTTCCTATTACAGGACAGATAAAGACAGGTGATGTGGCCACCCCAACACCATAATACCTCTTCAGTTAGCTATGTTGCAAGTTCTAATATATTCCACTATACGAACACAATCAGATTCTATTTCTTCATCAAAAAGTGTTGTTTGAAGTTGTCAGATGTATTTCAATATAGAACCCCCATTCAATGGCTAGAAGATGAGACAGCAGCAGAGATGGAAAAGAAACTTTATAAAATTATTCTTTCTGAAAATCTGCACCCTCCTAATGCTCATGTTTCTCATGGTGAGAGTAGCTATACACTTTGAGTGTTTCGAGAGAAATTTATTTTAGGAGAATATTTTCTGGCTGACTTAACAATCTTATATCTAATCTGACCTTTTTCTTAAGATCTTTTTAACTTCCTTCTCTCAAAATTATCTTGCTCAGAGGGAGATCTGTTTTTCTCTCCAATGCTTTGTCTGTTTCAGAAGCCTTACTAGTATCCCGTGGTGTCTGAATGAGGTGGGTTGTCACAGTGAAAACTTCTGATGTTATCTCTATCTGGACTCATGTTGGAAATTCAATATTTTTTCCATGTCACCATTATAAGTAGAAAGTGAGGCTGAAACACTGCTCCCAGTTTCATTATTGTGAAGATATGATTCTACCCAGGAGGCCTGCAGGCTCTCCTCCTGCAGCTCAGGCCTCACTCTCTGTTGTGACATTAGAGTGTTGCTGTGGCAAATGTAGTTCACATAAAATGTGAGCTGTGCTCTGGGCTGTGCCTCAGTGGCAGATAGTAGAGGTCAAGAGAGGAGACCAGCAACCAGGGGAAAGCAAGCAGGAGTGCTGTAGCCCAGTGCCAGGGAGTACAGAGCCACTGCTCTAAAATGTAAATAGCCAAAGAGAGAATCCTATTCAACCATTTTTGTAGCAGAGTGAAAGCCTACCTTCAGCAGCCACTGGGCTTCAAGCTGCTAAACTACCTCCTGTTCTGAAGATGTGGAAAGTTTATTTGTCATTGGATATAAGCATTTAGCATACCCAGATGCCCTATTCCATCTCCAGGTGATTTTAGGATGAACTATGTGTGACATGGTGCTATAAATTCTTCTACTTGTGGACTAATTATGGTGACCATCTTTCCATCTTTGTATTCTGTTAAACATATTGACCATGATGTATGTCACTTTCAAGTTTAATTTTATAAGAAAGCCATTTTCTTTCTCTGGGGCTGAAGAAACCATTTTCTTTTTCTGGGGCTGGAGCTTCTCTGGGGCTGGAGAAAATTTTTCTTCTTTTTCTGTTTTTGTTTGTTTGTTTGTTTGTTTTTTGAGATAGAGGTCTCACTCTGTCACCAAGGCTGAGTGTAGTGGCATGATCTCAGCTCACTGCAACCTACAGCTCCCGGGTTCAAGTGACTCTCCTGCCTCAGCCTCCTGAGTAGCTGGGATTACAGGCACCTGCCACTGTGCTGGGCTCATTTTCATGTTGTTAGTAAAGATGGGGTTTCACTGTGTTGGCTAAGCTGGTCTCAAACTCCTGACCTCAGTTGATCTGCCCACCTCAGCCTCCCAGAGTCCTAGTCCTGGGATTACAGGTGTGAGTCACTACTCCCAGCCCAATTTTTCTTTTAATTATTGTTTCCAAACACTGTCTAGAATTACCAGATGTGATATAAACACATAAGGTGCCAACCAGAATTTACTCTAGAGGGGACTTTCCCTCTCAGGCTTCCAGTCAACTTATACTTGTGCAGCAAAGTGCACGCTGTCCCCTAAATATGCAGGCAGAATTGTGTCTCTGCCTATTTGGTATCTAGAGTTCTCTACAATCACTTCTAGAGAGGCTAGATCAAATTTCTACAAACTTCACGGGCAGCAATCAATCATTTTACCTCTTTCACTGACTCTTGTATCTTCAGACTGAAACTGATTCAGAGAATATGGAGCCCAGAAACCCAATCAGAGTAACATGTGTGCATTGAGTAGACATAGAGACATGAGAATCTCCACTTTCTTCTTCCTCCTCTTGCCAAAATGCCCACAAACGTACAGGTAATACCTGCTGCTACTCCAGCCATTCAGGCCATAAATCTGCAGCTTCAAATTTTGAATCCAGGTCATGAGATTTGAGAAATAAAAAACTTTTATCTGAAAAATGCAAGTCCTTTTGGTTATCAAACTCAGAGAGACATTAAAATAAAAGTGCAGTTACATCTTTATCCTATTAACTATGTATTAATCTCTTGAAACTGTTCCCTATTGGCACAAGTAGCTATAAATGACACTAATAATGCCACATTGGACACTATATTTTTGTTTGTTTGTTTTTGAGATGGAGTTTCAATCTTGTTGCCCAGGCTGAGTGCAATGGCACAATCTTGGCTCCCTGCAACCTCTGCCTCCTGGGTTAAAGCAGTTCTTCTGTCTCAGCCTCCCCAGTAGCTGGGATTACAGACATATGCCACTATGACCAGCTAATTTTGTATTTTTAGTAGAGATGGGATTTCTCCATGTTGGTCAGGCTGGTCTTGAACTTCTGACCTCAAGTGATCTGCCCACCTCGGCCTCCCAAAGTGCTGGGATTACAGGCTTGAGCCACTGAGCCTGGCCTGGACACTATATTTTATACCCTAAACCATTATGATATATATCTAATTAATAATCAATGCTATTTCTGTAAATAAAAATTTCTGAAAAACAACTTTGTGTCAGCCCACTCTCTGTCCCTCTGTTGTTGTCTTTACAAATCCTCTTGTAATTGCTGCTAATTAAAGTGTAGATTCCAGGCAACTTGAATCTTTGCTCCCAGGTTATGATCCTTAAACTTGACCCAAATAAACTGTCTACTTATGTTCATGTTGTGTCAGCCTTTTTTAATATATATATAGACTTATCATTTAGAATGTGCTAGAGCAGCCTTCATGAGGGGATCTCTACTTAGATTGTATTCCACTTGCTGTAACATCAAAGGATGCAGAGCCAGGTTGATCCTACCTAGAATCTGCAATTAAGGTCTGGCCTCTGCCTGGGATTTACAAAAAAGCCTGGACTTTGGATAGAAAATGTACAGAAAACTAACAAAAGGCATTTTCTGCGTTGTGAGATGTCAACCTAAACATCTTACAGCCCCATTTTGGGAGTGTGGCTCTTTGAGATTTTTCACATCTTGTTCATTGACCTGCTACAGTGATGTGAGAGGCTCCAGGAGGAAATAGAATCTGATGGCAGAATTTGTAAGTGTAAATAAGCATCTTAGGCATGAGAGATCAAGGCCACAAAGTATCCAGAGCCATGATCACAATTATAATTACCTGTAAAGTGGAATACTGGAGAAGAGTTATTTTTGTTATTTCCTTTACCCATGAGCTAGCAAATCAGAATGGGTGTTCCAGGTTCTGGAGTTCCACCAGGGCAGTTCCATTTTCTATTTAGAATCAGCCTGAGTCTCTCCAGCCTGGTTGATCATTGGGCCATCAGCCCAGGGTCACTGGGAATTCCCTCAAAATCACCTAGGTGTCTTTGAGGTATTTGAGGATGTTCAGAGCAGAATTGTGTTAGACTGACAAGAGTGGTTAATTCTGCTTCTGTCTCAGTGTAAGAGAAATGAGTCATCCTGTGTTTTTTCATCCCCTCATACAAGAGGTATCTTTGGTTGCTACCCAGATGAGAGTTTCTCCAGTTTCCTGTTACTTGGATGATAAAGAAGGAGGAGATCTGGAGACTCAAACAGATAAACTAGTTGCTTCAATTTCATATAGCCATTAAAAAACCATGAAGCAGTCATGGTTCCTACAGTCCAGAAATGTTTAGTCTAGACTAGCAACTGGATAAATAATTATGCATCATATGGTTGGTACAATAAACACGTGTCCAAAATCTTGGGCTTTATTTAGTCTACTTTGTTTATATTGTGACTTCTGATGTCTACATCTCAAGGCATATTTATGAACAGAAGGATTATTATAATTTTTATTTTGAGACGGAGTCTGTGTCACCCAGGCTGGAGTACAGTGGTGTGATCTTGGCTCACTGCAACTTCTGCCACCCTGGTTCAAGTGATTCTCCTGCTTCAGCCTCCTGAGTAGCTGGCATTACAGTTGCTGGCCACCATGCCCAGCCAATTTTTGCATTTTTAGTAGAGACAGGGTTTCACCATCTTGGTCAGACTGGTCTCAAACTCCTGATGTTGTGATCTACCCGCGTCATCCTCCTGAAGCGCTGGGATTACAGGTGTGAGCCACCACGCCTGGCCATATAATTTCTATTTCTTTTACCTTGCTAAGTGTACATATTTATTTTCTAATAAAATTACCCTAGAAAGGCTGGGCATGGTTGTTCATGCTTGTAATCTCAGCACTTTGGGGGTCTAAGGCAGGTGGATCACAAGGTCAGGAGTTTGAGACCAGCCTGACCAATGTGGTGAAACGCCGTCTCTACTAATAATACAAAAATTAGCTGGGCGTGGTGGCACACATCTGTAGTTTCAGCTACTCAGGAGGCTGAGGTAGAAGAATCACTTGAACCCAGGAGGCAGAGCTTGTAGTGAGCTGAAATGGCACCACTGCACTCCAGCCTGTGCAATAGAGTGAGACTTCATCTATTTAAAAAAAAAAAAGTTACCCTAGAAAACCTTAAAGGATTTGTTTAAATTGCGTATTAGTATGTAGCATAAAGTTGACAGGGCAGTGGCTAGAAAATATTAAAATTACAGAAATTCTGGGATTTAAGTTTTTCTTTTAGGTAACCTTTGAAAAAAGAATACTGGTAGTACTGCAGTGGCATAGAGGGAAGAATTCTACATAGAGTCCCCACCCTGCCTCAGACCTGTTCAGATTCACCCTTTTTGGAGGCCTTATTTTGGTCTGACTATACCTTGGAGTCTTTCCTCAGAGAACTGATTAGAAGAGATCAGAGTTTTGGCTGGTGAATCCTGTTGCCTTTCTAGAGCTGGTGTTCACAATTTCTTGAAACCCAAAAACAGATAAATGGGATAAATAACGTATGTATTTTAGGGTCCTAGATTTTAAATGTTCTATTAAAACCAGTGTTTGCAGAGACATTATATTTAGACACTTGTTTTCTATTCCTGCAGATCCAGTAGTTGCTCCATAAGTCACAAAAAAGTAAATATAAAGAGAATAAAATTTTGTCTAAACTACATTAACCTCTTTCTTTCTGTATCTCTTTCATCTGTCTATATTTAGCTTTTATTCCTTATAATTTAAAAAAAATTGATGACAGAGGAACAGAAGAAGAAATAGAGATTCTGGGCCCTTTTTTGAAATCCTGGAAATTATTAAACCCTTAGTACCAGCTCCCAGGATGTTACGAGAATTAAATCACATAATGTGTTATGCCCAGCACAGTGCTCTGTATCATGCTCTTGAGCACACAGTATCTGTTTAATAAACATTGCATTAGTACATGTGTACATGTTGTTTTTAAAATACAGACTTATTCAGACATTGCTGCCTTCTGTTTCCTCTCCTTGTTTGTACCAGAAGTATTTGGTTGTGACAAGAGTGCTAAGTGTAAGGGATCCTGTGCTGTGCCTGCTTCTCTAACTAATGTAAATAATGCGCCAAGGGGGAGCAACATCAGCTTTGACAGGGGACTTGTTTAAAACACCCATGCATAGACCCTTTTCAAATCTGCAGAATTACATTACATAAAGTGGGGCCAAAATTACCAAGTGATTTATAAGCTTGTTAAAGCTTGAGAGGCAATGCTTAGCTTAGTGATTATCAGCCCAGGGTTCTCATTAGGATCACATGGCCAATTTGCAGAAATCTCTTGTGCCCTCCCCACAGGTTCTGTTTATTGTTCTGGGTGGAAGCATCCACGTTGTTTTAATGAAGGGCCTCATGTGACTCTAAGGTGAGGCCAGAATCAAGTATGAAGGCTTCAAAATACATTCATGAGAGTTAAATTCCACCTTTGCACTAAAGGGTGGTCACAGGGCCTATTCTATTTGGGTTTGGTAGGGACAGGTCAGTGTGGTGCATATTTCCATTACTGTGGCAGAAATTGCTGGTGTCTGTGGCAGGGGAGGGCACCTGAGGACAGGAAAGGAGAAACTTATATTTTCATCTTCATGGAGCAGCTCATTGCTCCTGAATCTCTTCTGTTTTAAAGGATAGAAATGGATGGATTTTTCTGTCTTTTTCTGCCAATTGATGCCATGCTAGCTGGTAAACATGTGGCACTGACACCTTTAAAGGCATATTCTCAAGATGCAGGGGTAATTTGTCCAGAGAATCTTCATCTGAGAAGGAATTCCAGAGAAGGAGGAGATCAGAAAGAGAAAAAAAAAGGGCTTCAGGTAAACATGCCTCAGCTGAAAAGCTATGTCCACTCTGCCTCCTGGAATGCCATGTATCTAGTACTTGAAAACTTTTACTTCTCTACTTGTGTTTTTCCTCCCTAAGGAGTTTGGTTTAAGTACTTCTTAAAATTCTTATGATAGTCAAACGTGTCTGAAAAGTATTTCTTCCCTGTATCCCAGAGCCTTCTCTTCATTCTCTACATCATAACTTCTTATACGCCATGCAGATTTATCAACAGGAATTTATGATCTGCAATATTAAAAATGTTCCGTTTGTGGCTGTTGAACATGGAAAGATGTGGATACTCAAGATTTCTATTGGGGAAAACTGTGGTCCTTAGTAAAGATGGAGAAAATATAATGTTGAGGCTCCATTCATGTGTTCCATTAGCTGTATGCTGAACAGGATTAAGGAATTGCTTATTTAGGTCGGGCGTGGTGGCTCATGCCTGTAATCCCAGCACTTTGGGAGGTCAAGGCAGGCAGATCGCCTGAAGTCAGGAATTCGAGACCAACCTGGCCAACATGGTGGAACCCCGTCCCTACTAAAAATATAACAATTAGCCTGGCGTGATGGCAGGCACCTGTAATCCCAGCTACTTGGGAGGCTGAGGGAGGAGAACCACTTGAACCCAGGAGGCGGAGGTTGCAGTGAGCTGAGATCGTGCCATTGCACTCCAGCCTGGGGGACAAGAGTGAGACTTAATCTCAAAAAAAAAAAAAAAAAAAAGAAAATTGCTCATTTAAATGTGATGGCATTTATTACCCAGAAATTCTGAAAAAAATTATTAGGAGATACCTGCTTTCTAGGGTGTTAATGAAGCCTGCTTAATATTACTACTAAAAATTACAGAACATAGGAGGTATCTGTATTTTGAGGTTTGCATAAAACTGATGATTCTTTTTGATTACATTCAGATTTTATTTGCTTTTTTTAAAAAGGAATATTTCAATAGTGATGCTGTATTCTTCTGTATGCATTAACACATCATAAAAATTTGTCCTAGTGCAGTTAATGGTTAATGATTCACTTGCTTAAATAGGTCTCTGACAGACTTTTTTTTACTATATAGCTAATTATTTTTCTCTTCATTATTAAGTTTCATTATGCAGCTGATGTGAACAAACAATCATTTAATCTGGCAGCTGTTCTTTTTTCTTTTTTTCTACATATTTTTCTTTGGAAAATTAAGGCTCTTATCTTTGTTTACAGGCCAGAAAAACTGGAAAAAACACAGGCTCTTCCACTTACTGGATGTTTGACAAAATATTCTTCTTGGGCCAAAAACATTGACATTATTGGTTAGCTTGCTAGAAATTCAAAAAATCAGACTTTATTCCAGATCTTCTGGAAAAAAACCCTGCATAACAAGGTCTTCAGCTTATTGTACATATTAAAACATGCCTTTTTCATCTGAAAAATATTCACAACTCATTCCATATGATGTAAATATAGCACTCAAAAATGTACATGTTTGTGTTCATGCCCTTAATTTTATAGTTTATTTTCTAGAAAAATATATGAACTGATGTTGTGGATCTTATGTTCCTTTATTTTCTCAGAGTTAGAGAATACTTTAGAGAATATTTCTGTGTTGAAAATTATTTTATAGGATAACTTTAGTCAGTCCTATAAGTCAGAACCAGTTATCTTTACTCTCTCATTTCACCTTAAGTCAAATTAAAAATTCCGCCCATAACCACTTGGTGAAAATGTGTGTGTGTATATTTTTCAGGGGCCATTGCAATTTAGAGATGTGGCCATAGAATTCTCTCTGGAGGAGTGGCATTGCCTGGACATGGCACAGCGGAATTTATATAGGGATGTGATGTTAGAGAACTACAGAAACCTGGTCTTTCTTGGTGAGAAAAACTTTAATACATAACTCATAATATACACAAATTGTTTTATTTCTCTTTTTTGTAGAATGTTAGTAATTTATTCTTTTTATAAAAGAGTTTCAGATCCAGTTTTTCAAGAAAATCTTCAGAATTTGTTCATTTAGAAAAGAATTACTTTGGTGCCTCATGCCTGTAATCCCAGCACTTTGGGAGGCTGAGGCAGGGGGATTACCTGAGGCCAGGAGTTTGAGACCAGCTGGCCAAAATGCTGAAACCCCAACTCTAATAAAAGTACAAAAAATTAGCTGCGGGCTGTGGCATGCACCTATAATCCCAGGACTCAGGAGGGTGAGGCAGGAGAATCACTTGAACTCAGGAGGTGAAGGTTGCAGTGAGTTGAGATCATGACATTGCACTGCAGCCTGGGCAACAGAGCAAGATTCTGTCTCAAGGAAGAAAAAAAAAAAAGAAAGAAAAAAATTTCTTCAAGATATTTCATCTTAATACAAACTTTCCACATTTCTGAGGTGAGTTATATTCTTCACTCTAAATTAGTGGTAATTCCAGAAATTTACTGACTTAAAATATTGTAGCTTCCACCTGAAAATCTACTTGCCACCACCAAGTTTTGATTCAGTAGTACCAGGTAGTAAAATTAGGAAACCTACAAATTGAAAGTATTTTCTTTTCTTTTCTTTTCTTTTCTTTTCTTTTCTTTTTTTTTTTTTTTTGAGACAGAGTCTCACTCTGTTCCCCAGGCTGGAGTGCAGTGGTGCAATCTGGGCTTACTGCAACATCCACCTCCCAAGTTTCTCCTGCCTCAGCCTCCCGAGTATGTGGGACTACAGGCACACATCACTATGCTCCGCTAATTTTTGTATTTTCAGTAGAGATGGGGTTTCACCATGCTGGCCAGGCTGGTCTCAAACTCCTGACCTTAGGATCTGCCTGCCTCGGCCTCCCAAGGTGCTGAGATTACAGGCATGAGCCACTGCACCAGGCAAATTGGAAGTATTTTCTAAATATTTAGAAATCTCTGTTACAAATTTGTATTTTGTTATTAATTTACTAGAATATTTTATCACATCATCTTTCCTGAGCACATTACTAGCTTGTAATTGGAGAATGTGAGCAAGATTCATGTTATTTATTTTTGATAAAACAGGTATTGTTGTCTCAAAGCCAGACCTCATCACCCATCTGGAGCAAGGAAAAAAACCTTCGACTATGCAGAGACATGAGATGGTAGCCAACCCCTCAGGTAGGTGTGAGTGAAAATGAATACAACAGACAACACAGTAAGAAGTCCAAGGTCAAAAAGAAAGCCAGTCCTTAAGGTGTGATTCTGGAAGCTGTGTTCCAAAGGAACTTCTGGGCAGCTGTTTTTTTTGTTTTTTGTTTTTGTTTTTGTTGTTTTAAATTTTGCTGTCACAAAGGGGCATATTGTCTTATGCTTCTAAATTCTCTAAAAATTCTACTTTTCTCTCAGTGAGCTTCCTTCACATTCACAGTGAGAGCCAAAGTCCTCTTCATGACATATAAGAGACAGCACAATCCAGCTGCTTTTTCATTGTTTTGGGGACACACAAATATCTTCCTAATTTTGAGAAACTGAAACTATTTTTTAGTTTTCTTTTTGTATCCGGTCTGAAATTTGTGAGAGTAGTAGTTTCTGTTGCATTTTTTTTTGTTCATTTTTGTGCACAGTCCATTCTATTTTTATTACTATATAGTCTTGAAATATAGTTTGAAATTGTAAGTACGATATTCTGTTTTCTTCTTTTTCCTCAAGATTGCTTTGGCTATTCAAAGTTTATTTTAGTTTCATGTAAATTTTAGAATTGTATTTTCCATTATTGTAAAAAAAAACACTGCAATTTTAATAGGAAGATTATTGAGTCTGTAAATCACTTTGGATAATATGATTCTTTAATAATATTTATTCTTTTAATTCATTGACATAAAATATTTTAAAATTAATTTTTATCTTCTAATTTTTTTATTTTGTTATTGTAAACTTTTTTTTACCTCCTTGGTTAATTTTTTTCTCAGGAATTTATTTAATGCTATATTAAATAAGATTTTTTCTTCCTCATCAGATAGTTTGTTTTAAGTGTAAGAAACCATACATATACTTGTGTGTTTAATTTTATATTTTGCTAATTTACTGAGTGTATTTATTAGTTTAGACAGGTTTTAATGTACTGTTTATGGTTTTTTAAATATAAAATTGTGTGATTTACAACCAGCAACTTTTTTTTTTTTTTTTTTGAGAGGGGCTTTCACTCTTTTTGCCCAGGCTAAAGTGCAATGGTGTGATTTTGACTCACTGCAACCTTTGCCTCCTGGGCTCAAGTGGCTCTCCTGCCTCAGCCTCCTGAGTAGCTGGGATTACAGGTGTTCACCACAACACCCAGCTACTTTTTTGTATTTTTTTGGTAGAGACGGTGTTTCACCATGTTGGCAAGGCTGGTCTCAAACTCCTGACCTCAGATGATCTGCCCGCCTCTGCCTCCCAAAATGTTGGGATTACAGCCATGAGCCACCATGCCTGGCTGGATTTTTTTATTTCTGTGAATAATTCTTCTGCCACATACTTCCATCACTACATTCAAATAGAAGCATTGACAATGGACACAATATAGTTTTGTATTGGTGTCTGAATTTGATGGAGTAAACACCTCTTCAAGTTTTCATAAACTGATTTTAGAAGCATTTCCTTAGGGAACTGTGTGGGTTTCTTTTTTTCTTTTTCTTTTTTTTTTTTGAGATGGAGTTTTGCTCCTGTTGCCCAAGATGGAGTGCAATGGTGCGATCTCATCTCACCACAACCTCCGCCTCTTGGGTTCCAGTGATTCTCCTGCCTCAGCCTCCCAAGTAGCTGCAAATACAGGCATGCGCCACCATGCCTGGGTAATTTTGTATTTTTAGTAGAGAAGGTGTTTCTCCATGTTGGTCAGGCTGGTCTTGAACTCCTGACCTCAGGCGATCCGCCCGCCTCAGCCTCCCAAATTGCTGGAATTACAGGTGTGAGGCACTGTACCCTGCCCAATTGTGTGGGTTTCTATGTAGGCAGAACTGACCATAAACTTGGCTCAGGTAACTGAAACTGAGTCATAGAACCGCTTCAGGGATCCCAGTAAAGTCCAAAGTCTGCAGGCCTGCCTACATTGTTGTAAATGGGTGCCTTCCTCCAGGTCTCTTGAATGTCAGGACCTCTGCCAGACTCTGACTGGGAGGAGTTTGGATTGGTTACAGAGTAAGTTCAGAATTCTCAGTGGGACCAAGTTGGGTGAACCCTATCTGGTCTGTAGCCATGAGTAGGGGTCCTGCAGTTTCCCACCTGACTAAGGGCAGGTTCTCTTCTGAATAGAACACTTCTCAATCTTAAGCTTTAGCAGCATTTCACAACTCCCTCCCTGGATCTCAAATCTCTCTTAGTGGCGTGTATTTTGGAGATGGGGTCTTGCTACATAACCCAGGCTGGTCTCAAAATCCTGGCCTGAAGCAGTTCTCCAACGTTAATGTACCATGTATCTGTCATTACAGGTGTGAGCCATAATGCCTGTTTCTCTCATAAAGGCATTTTTGTCAGAGATGGCTTTTTTTTTTTTGCTGTAAGGGAGTATGAAAATAGGGACTTTTAATCTTTTCATCTTACTGATGTCACTCTCCCTATACATTTTTACTTTCTATTTTCTCTTTCAGATTTGTCTGTAAATTTAGATTCAGATATTTAGGACAATGTGCTAGAATTTGCATGGTATGCCTGAAGTAAATTAGATAACTCATAGGGACCCATATTACTAAAATAGTTACTTATGAATTTAAGTTTGCTGCAGGCAAAAAGGAATTAAAGGATTTTCATCTTTTTTTTAGCCTATATCTAAATAATAACATAGTTTATTTCTCAATATTTGTTTTACATATCAGAGGGTCTAACCCTATTCTGCAAATTATATAATTTTAAATTTAACAATGTAAGGCTACTCTTTGCTTCTAAAGTTTGATTATAGCTGTTTTATTTTGTGTAAAAATACCATATATTTAAAACATTAAAAGTAACTAGTTTCCTTAAAATGCTAATTTTTAAGTTTCTCACTAGAATCTTCTATTTATAATTATACTGCATATTCTCTGAAATTTTACTGCCACACAGGGCATGCCAATGATTCAAAATACCTGCATTTAGTGAGTACACACTAACAGTTAAATATTTCAGTTACCTAGAAACATTTTTATTTTTTTTGAGATGGAGTCACACTCTGTCACCCAGCCTGCGGTGCAGTGGTGTGATCGTGGCTCACTGCAACTTCCACCTTCCAGGTTCAAGCAATTCTCATGCCTCAGTCTCTCAAGTAGCTGGGGTTACAGGCATGTGTCACCACCCCTGGCAAATTTTTGTATTTTTAGTAGAGACAGGGCTTCACCAAGTTTGCCAGGCTGGTCTTGAACTCCTGACCTCAGGTGAGCTGCTTGCCTTGGCCTTCCAAAGTGTTGAGATAACAGTTGTGAGCCACCACACCTGGCCTGACAATTTTTTAATAATACATCAATGTTGCATGCTAGATTTTATGAGTAAACATTTATTATTGTTTTGAAGTTTTATATTAGTGTGTTTTTTCAGTGTAGGTTTTTTTTTTTTGGGATGGAGTCTTGCTCTGTCACCCAGGCTGGAGTGCATTGGCGTGATCTTGGCTCACTGTAACCTCTTCCTCGAGGGCTCAAGTGATTCTTCTGCCTTGACCTCCTGAGTAGCTGGGACTACTGGCGTGCGCCACCATGCCTGGCTAATTTTTGTATTTTTAGAAGAGATGGGGTTTCACCATATTGGCCAGTCTGGTCTGGAACTGGTGACCTCGTGATTTGCACACCTCAGCCTCCCAAAGTACTGGGATTACAGTTATGATCCACTGCACCTGGCCTCAGTGTAGGTTTCTTACCATTAGTTTATTGGGTGTTTTGGTTTTACTTATGTATTATAATTTTAGACAATTTGCAATTCTGCTTGTATACTTTAAGTCAATTTTAGGTTTAAGAGATAAATTATGCATGTCTGTCACAATCAGGTTACATATGTATGTCTGTTTATAAATATGACACCAATTTTAGTTATGGCTTATCTTATACTCTTTCTTAGCTTATTTTCCATGGTAGTTTTATCTTGTCTAAGTAAGTACTCATGGGGATAGTCTTATTTTACCATGTGTTTAGTGATTAATATGTATTTCCTTTCATGAGAGAAACATTTTTGTGATTTGAAGGTAATTTTCAAAAAAATATGTAATTTTTTTTTCAGTTTTTCTTTAAAAAAAAATTGTTTTAAAAACACATAATGTAAAATTTACCATCTTAAATCTATTGAAGTGTACATTTCAGGGCCAGGCGTGGTGGTGGCTCTGATCTGTAATCCCAGGATTTTGGGAGGCCAAGACAGGAGGATACCTGGAGCCCAAAAGTTTGAGACCAGCCTGGGCAGCATATGGAGACTCTCCTCTATAAAAAAAATTAATAATAGCCAGGCATGGTGGTGTGCAGCTGTGGTCCCAGCTACTTGGGAGATTGAGGGGGAGTCAAAATTGTGCCACTACACTTTAGCTTAGGTGACACAGTGAGACCCCGTCTCAAAAAAAGAGCTGTTCGTTTCAGGCATGTTAATTATATTCACACTGTCATGCAAAAGGCTTCTAGAAACTTTACATCTTGTAAAACTAAAACTCAATGCCCATTAAGTAACAACTGCTCATTTTACACTCTTTCCAGCCCTTGACAGACAAACCTTCTACTTTCTGATTTTATGATTTTGACTACTTAAGATATCTCATATAAGTGGAATCATACAGTATCCATAATTTTGTTACTGGATTAATTCAGGTGGCATAATATTTTCAATGTTCATCTTAAAATGTGACAAGATTATTCTTTTTAAAGTGGAATAATATTCCATTGTATGTGTATGTTATATTTTTTGATGTGTTTATAAATCAAGATATATATGGTGGTTTAGCCTTTTGGCTTTTGTGAATACTGGTACAAAATACATGTATTTTCAATTATGTCTTCCAGGTCCTGTGTTGCATATTTTGTTTTTTTGTTGTTGTTTTCTTTCTTTCTTTCTTTCTTTTTCTTTTTCTTTCTTTTTTTTTTTTTTTTTTTTTTTCTGAGATGGAATCTTGCTCTGTTGCCCAGGCTAAAGTGCAGTGGTGCGATCTCGGCTCACTGCAAGCTCTGCCTTCTGGGTTCAAGTGATTCCCCTACCTCAGCCTCCCAAGTAGCTGGGATTACAGGTGCACGTCACATCGCCAAGGTAATTTTTGTGTTTTTAGTAGAAATGGTATTTCACCATGTTGGCCAGGCTCGTCTCAAACTCCTGACCTCAGGTTATCTGCCCACCTCAACCTCCCAAAGTGCTAGGATTACAGGCTTGAGCTACTGCACCTGGCCTGTGTTACATATTTTAGATATAGATTTATAAATGAGGAATATTTATAACATTTTAAAATAATGGCTGTGTCTTTGTTTTCCACCAGCAATCAACATGGATTTTATTTTTATTACACCTAATGAGTGTGAGGTGATTTTGTTGGTATTGTGTTTTTTGTTTTCATTTCTCTACAAATTAGTAATTTTGTGTGTTTTTTCAAATGCTTTTTCCCATTTGTTTATTTTTATATCTAAGTATTTTATTTAAAATATATTATTGTATCATTCAAGGAAATAATCCAACTTTATTTTATCAGTGTTGACATTCAGTTTTCAACATCATTTTTTGAAGAGATTATTTCTCTCTATTTTGTATGCATGGCAACTCTGTGGAAGATCATTTGATCATATACAGAACGGTTTATTTCTGAGCTCTCTATTCTGTTCTTTTATCTGTTTGTCTTTGTGTATCACATTGTTTAAGTTCCATAGCTTTTAACTGTAGGTTGTATTGACATCTTTGAAAAATAAAATTTGTTGCCCCCTGAGCAAGAATATGTTGAAGAGTGTGTTTCATATTCACATATTTGTGAATCTGCCAGTTTGACTTTTGCTTTTAATTCCTAGTTTCATTAAGTTTTTGTTAGAAAACACACAGTGTATAATTTTAGTGTTTTTAAAGTGATTGGTTGTTGTTTTGAGACAAGATCTTACTGTCACCCAGGCTCCAATGCAGTGGCATAATTGTGGCTCACTGTAGCCTCAGCCTCCTGGGCTCAAGTGATCCTTTCACCTCAGTTTTTTGAGTAGCTAGGACTACAGACATGCACTACCATGTCTGGCTAATTGTTTGCTAGTTTATAGTGTTAGGATCTCACTATTTTGCCCAGGCTGGTCTCAAACTTTTGGCCCCGATGGATCTCCCAAAGTGTTAGAATTATAGGCAGGAGCCATGGCACCCAGTAGGTATTTTTAAATTTAATAAAGCTTGGGTATGTGTCCTAACAGAATACACCAGATGCAAATAAGAATATTGTGTATTATCTTGGTTTTGATGGGAGAGTATTTTATGTATCTATGAAGCCTATTTGGTCTATAATATGGTTTGGATGTCCTTGTTGTCCAAACCTCATGCTGCAATATAAATCCTCAATGTTGGGTGTGGGACCTGGTGGGACATATTTGGGTCATGAGGGTGAATTTCTCATGAATGGCTTGGTACATACTCTTGGCAACCAAAAAGATTAGACTCTATCAATTCAAATAAGAGCTGGTTCATTAAAAGAACATGGCTTCTTCACCTCACACTTGCTCTGTCTCTTACCATATAATATATCCAGTTATTCCTTACCTTCCACCATGATTTTAAGCTTCCTGAAATCCTCATTAGAAGCACATGCTGACACACACTTCTTGTACAGTCTGCTGAGCTGTGAGCCAAATAAACCTTTTTTCTTTATAAATTATGCCCTCTCAAGTATTGCTCTATATGCAAAATAATTAATATGGTCTATAATATTGTCACAGTTTTCTCTTTCTTAGTTTTTATCTGAATTTTCTATTTATTAATTGCAAATGGGTTCTTGCTGTCTACAATTATTATGTTGCTATGTATGCCTTGCTTCACTTTTGTCAATATTTGCTTTATATATTTTGGAGCCCTGATGTTATATACACATATACATATAGATAGATAAATATTATAGTTATAGATTCCTGCTAAATCAATTCACTTTACCATAATATAATATCAGTCATTGTCCCATGGTCGTACTTGACTTAAAGCATATTCTGTCTAATATAATTATGACCACCTTACTCAATTGTGGTTACATGGTACACAACTTTTTTTCATTCTGTTACTTTCACCCTATTTGACTCAATGCTAAAATGAGTCTCTTGTAGGGAGCATAGTGTATGCTTTTTAAAAAACCACTCAGGCATTCTATATCTTTTTTTAATATTTTCATTATGCATATATTCATTTATTATTCATTTTATTTTATTTTATTTTATTTTATTTTATTTTATTTTATTTTATTTTTTGAGATGGAGTTTCACTGTTGTTACCCAGGCTGGAGTGCAATGGTGCAATCTCAGCTCACTGCAATCTTCACCTCCTGGGTTCAAGTGATTCTCCTGCCTCAGCCTTCCAAGTAGCTGGGATTACAGGCACATGCCACCACACCTGGCTAATTTTTTGCATTTTTAGTAGAGATGGGGTTTTCCCATGATGGCCAGGCTCATCTTGAACTCCTGACCTCAGGTAACCTGCCCACCTTGGCCTCCCAAAGTATTGGGATTACAGGTGTGAGCCACTGCGTCCGGCCTCATGTATTTTTGAGATAGGGTCTCACTCTGTCAACCAGGCTGATTTGCATGGCTCACGGCTGCTCGAACCTCCCAAACTCAGATGATCCTCTCATTTCAGCCTCTCAAGTAGCTGGGTTACATGAATGTGCCCTCACACCCAACTAGCTTTTTTTTGTATTTTTCATAGAGACAGAGTTTTGCCATGTTGCCCAGGCTGATCTTGAACTTTTGGGATCAAGTAATCGGCCCACCTTGGCCATCCAAAGTCCTAAGATTACATTTCCACTTTGGGAGGCCGAGGCGGGCGGATCACGAGGTCAGGAGATCGAGACCATCCTGGCTAACACGGTGAAACCCCGTCTCTACTAAAAATACAAAAAATTAGCCGGGCGTGGTAGCGGGCGCCTGTAGTCCCAGCTACTCGGGAGGCTGAGGCAGGAGAATGGCGTGAACCCGGGAGGCGGAGCTTGCAGTGAGCCGAGATCGCGCCACTGCACTCCAGCCTGGGCGACAGAGCGAGACTCCGTCTCAAAAAAAAAAAAAAAAAAAGATTACATTTCAAAGATTACATTTCATTTCATTAAGTAGTTTAATGAGAGTCCTGTATTTTTGTATCTACTGAATGATGTGGTGACAGAAATTTGCATTGCTTTTACTATTAGTAAAATTAGTAACTGCAGTAGTTATGCAAAAGCTAATATATGTGCTGCCTTCTGTTTTATTAGTTTACTTTTTCACCTTTATACTCATAACAAATTATTTTAATTCTGTAGCTTTTTGATGTGTTTTGAAATCAGAAATGGTAATGCCTCCAACATTGTTCCATTTTGGTAGATTGTTGGGTACTTTATTGTCTCTTTAGATTCCATATACTTTTGGATTTGCTGTTTTTATTTCTTCAAAAATGCAATGAGACATTTGAAAAACATTGAATTAAATCTGTAGATTAAACTGAGCAGTACAGACATCTTCACAATATTAATTATTTCTTTTTCAGTTTGTTTTTGAGGTGGAGTTAAAATCACTCACCTCGACCTCCCAAAGTGCTGGGATTACAGGTGTGAGTCACTGCACACAGCCCAGTTTTCTGAACAAGTGCATGCTCAAGAGTGTGTTTTCTCATTTCCATATATTTGTAAATTTATCAATTATTTATATTATTGTTTTATACTCTAATTCCATTTTTGTCATAGAAAGTAATCTATAAAATTTCAGTTTTAAAAAATGTGTTAAGGCTTCATTTTTGGCCTAACTTGTGGTCTATATAAGAGAATGCTGTATGAGCTATTGAGAAGGCTGTGTATCCTGATGTTGTTGAGGAGTGTTCTCTATACCTTCATTAGAAATAATTGTTTTTTACTGCCTTCTAGTCCTCTGTTCCCTTATTAATATTCTGTCTTGTTTTATTATTACAGAAAATGAAGTATTGAAATATCCTACTATAATTATATTGCTCTCTGTGTGTATTCAATTTTGTATTTGCTTTATATATTTGAAACTCTAATCTGAGACACACACATGCAAATACATACATGTATAAACAAATTTGTCATAGATTCCCAGTGAAAGAATACATATATTGTTTAAAGCCCTTCTTTGCCTTCTTGAAGTTTTGACTTAAAGTACATTTTATAAAATATGACATTTTCTTACTTAAGATGCAGCTTGTGTAATATTATTTTGAGCTCTTTTGCTCTAATTTGGTTAATATTTACATGAAATTTCTACTTCCATCTTGCCACTTTCAGTCCTTTTTTATTATTAGATCTCAACTGACTCTTGTAAAAAGGCAAGTTGAATCTTGATTTTTAAAATTTTTTAATAAACCTTTTTATTTAAAGTATGTCTCTTGATTTGGAGAGATAATTATATATATTTAAATAGTTTTCTGCAAAAGAAAAACTTATTTTATTGTTTTATTTTATTCTTGTGTCTTTGTCTCTCATTTTCTCTTTCTTTTTTTTAAATCTTTGTATTGACATGCTTTCAGTTTCTTTCTTATTTTCTTTTGTGTATCTGTACAGACATTTTCTAAGTGGTACCTTCTGGGATTACATAAAACCTCTAAAAGATCCAACAATATATTTAAATGTGGTAAAAAATCAACTTCAGTTTCATACAAAAATTTTTCATCATTACATCTGCCTTCTATTTTGTTATTGAGTTTGCCAATTATATTTTTTATGTTTGTATATTCATTAACATGTTTATAATAATTTCTATAGTTTTTATCTTTTAAATTTTAGAGAACAATTAAAAATGTTTTCTGCACCATTATGATAATGTTAAGAAATTCCATTTTTGTGTATGTGCATATCTTTCCCAGAAAGTTACATATTTTCATATGATTATGGGTTGTTTTCTTTCACTATATTATTTTCAGTGGAGGAAACTCAACCATCTTTGATATGTCAGGCATATGCAGTGGCAATATACATTCTCAGGATTTGGTTATTTTGGAAGTGCTTCTTTCTATTTGGTAGTAAAATTGTGGTGATGCTATTATTCTCACTTGACAGCTTTTTTAAAATTATTATTTTAGCTTTAACAATATCACAGTTTCCTTCTCACTTGCAAAAATTTTTTTGATAAATTCACTTGTTATATCATGAGACTATGCTTATAAATGACACATCATTTTTATCTTACAGCTCCCAAAATTCTCTTATCTGTGATTTTTGAAATTTTGCTTATTATATGTGTTTGTTATAAATATCTTGGTGTGTACATTTTTAAAGAAATTTTCCAATTATGTTTTGTATTTTTATATCCACGATTTTTGTTTTTTGCTATTTAAATGTTTCTGGTTGTTATTCTCATTTTTCTGATCTTCAGTAGTTGCCTGTGTTCCTATTTAACTTACTGAATATTATTCAATTTATTTTATTTTATTTATTTATTTTATTATTATTTTCTGAGACAGAGTCTGTCTCTGTCACCTCAACTGGAGTGCAGTGGTGCAGGCTCACTGCAACCTCCATCTCCCAGGTTCAAGCAATTCTCTTGCCTCAGCCTCCTCAGTAACTGGGATTATAGGTGCTCACAACCACACTTGGCTATTTTTTTATATTTTTAGTAGAGATAAGGTTTCACCATGTTGGCCAGGCTAATCTTGAACCTGTGACCTCAAATGATCCATCCACCTTGGCCTCTCAAAGTGCTGGGATTACAGGTGTGAGCCATCCTGCCCACCCTATTTTATTATATTTTTGAGACAGGCTTCCTCTGTTGTCCAGGCTGTAGTGCAGAGGTACAATCTTCACTCACTGATGGGGCCATGTTGCTCTAATATTTTGTATTCATTGTAATCTTTGATTGAGCTTTGGACATTAACAAAAAGCTACCTGTTAGAATCTTTAAGATATAACTTTATTCTGGCATAGTCTGAAATCAATTGTCATGGCTAGAGATTTTGGGAATTTCTCAAACATGTTTTTAGGATGTGTCTTGTCTAAAATTTTGTGTTTATTGTTTAGTTAAATTGGCTTATTCATATTTCTTCTTAATAATCAGTAATCACTTGCTAGACTTATTCCCTGTTTGGGGTAGGGCAGTATCTCTGCTTCTGTGACATTTATGTTTAGACTCAGCAGACTCAAACTGTTAATCCAACTTATATCGTCATTTCCTTCAGCATTTTATGTCATGGGAGACATTTACCAGTGTCTAGAAAAGCCCCTAAAAGCCAAAAATTAAGATGTATGTGCCAATATTTTTCCTGCTTTTTAAAAGAAACCAGGATTTGGCAATTTACGTGTGTGTGTGTGTGTGTGTGTGTGAGAGAGAGAGAGAGAGAGAGAGAGAGAGAGAGAGTCTTGCCCTGTTACCTATGCTGTAGTTCAGAGGCATGATCTTGGTCACTACAATATCTGCCATTACAGAGTCTCACTCTGTCACCCAGGCTGGAGTGCAGTGGTATGATGTCAGCTTACTGCAACCTCTGCCTCCTGGGTTCAAGCAATTCTCTGCCTCAGCCTCCTGAGTAGCTGAGATTACAAGTTCCTGCACCATGCCTGTCTAGTTTTTTGTGTTTTTAGTAGAGATGGGTTCTCACCATCTTGGCCAGGCTGCCTTTGAACTCCTGACCTCATGATCAACCCATGTCAGCCTCCCAAAGTGCTGAGATTACTGGTGTGAGCCATCACGCCTGACCAGCAATTTACTTTTAAAGGCACAATGTTACACTGGAGAGCAGGAAGAGCTCTGTTGGGTATAAGTAACAGACTTTTTTTTTTCTTCTATGTGGCTCTTTGCATTGTACTCACCTTGGGCCCTTCATACACTTAACTCATTTATAAATTTTTTACAAATGTATTTTGGGCAGTATGTTTTTGTTACATTTATATGTCCAGGAAGAAATTACAGCTTGTGATATTTTGCTACGTCATCTTGTTTATGTAGTTTGTATAATTTTATAGGTTAGATTTGTAAAGTATATTTATCTGAGTCTAGCAAGTGAAGTAGTGTGTTTTTATGGTTTCTTTCAGTTTTGTGTTCTCATTTTAACCAAGACCTTTGGCCAGAGCAGAGCATAAAAGATTCTTTCCAAAAACTGATACTGAGAAGACATAAAAAATGTGGACATGATAATTTGCAGTTAAAAAAAGGCTGTGAAAGTGTGGATAAGTGTAAAGTGCACAAAAGAGGTTATAATGGACTTAACCAATGTTTGACAACTACCCAAAGCAAAATGTTTCAATGTGATAAACATGGGAAAGTCTTTCATCAATTTTCAAATACAAACAGACATAAGATAAGACATACTGGAAAAAACCCTTTCAAATTTACAGAATGTGGCAAAGCTTTTAACCGGTCCTCAACCCTTACTACACATAAGAAAATTCATACTGGAGAGAAACCCTATAAATGTATAGAATGTGGCAAAGCCTTCAACCGGTCCTCACACCTTACTACACATAAGATAATTCATACTGGAGAGAAACGGTACAAATGTGAAGACTGTGGCAAAGCCTTTAACCGCTCCTCTAACCTTACTACACATAAGAAAATTCATACTGGAGAGAAACCCTACAAATGTGAAGAATGTGGCAAGGCCTTTAAGCGCTCCTCTATCCTTACTACACATAAGAGAATTCATACTGGAGAGAAACCCTACAAATGTGAAGAATGTGGCAAAGTTTTTAAGTACCTTTCTTCCCTTTCTACACATAAGATAATTCATACTGGAGAGAAACCCTACAAATGTGAAGAATGTGGTAAAGCCTTCAACTGGTCCTCACACCTTACTACACATAAGAGAATTCATACTGGAGAGAAACCCTACAAATGTGAAGAATGTGGCAAAGGCTTTAAGTACTCCTCTACCCTTACTAAACATAAAATAATCCATACTGGAGAGAAACCCTACAAATGTGAAGAATGTGGTGAAGCCTTTAAGTACTCCTGTTCCCTTACTGCACATAAGATAATTCATACTGGAAAGAAACCTTACAAATGTGAAGAATGTGGCAAAGTGTTTAAGCACTCCTCTCCCCTTTCTAAACATAAGAGAATTCATGCTGGAGAGAAACCCTACAAATGTGAAGAATGTGGCAAAGCCTTCAGTCGGTCCTCTATTCTTACTACACATAAGATAATTCACACTGGAGAGAAACCCTACGAATGTGAAGACTGTGGCAAAGCCTTTAACCGCTCCTCTAACCTTACTAAACACAAGAAAATTCATACTGGAGAGAAGCCTTACAAATGTGAAGAATGTGGCAAGGCCTTTAAGTGCTCCTCTATTCTTACTACACATAAGAGAATTCATACTGCAGATAAACCCTACAAATGTGAAGAATGTGGCAAAGACTTTAAGTACTCCTCTACCCTTACTAGACATAAGAGAATTCATACTGGAGAGAAACCCTACAAATGTGAAGAATGTGGCAAAGCTTTTAATCATCCCGCAACCCTTTTTTCACATAAGAAAATTCATACTGGAGGGAAACCACACAAGTGCAATAAATGTGGCAAAGCCTTTATTTCATCCTCAAACCTTAGTAGACATGAGATAATTCATATGGGAGGGAATCCCTACAAATGTGAAAATGTGGCAAAGCCTTAGACACTCCTCTACCCTTACTAGACATAAGATAATTCATACTGGAGAGAAACCCTATGAGTTTGATGAATGTGGGAAAGACTTTAACCAGCTATCAACTTTTACTAAATATGAGAATTTATGGAACACAAACACTACAAATATAAAGAATGTGACAAAGCTTTTAGGAAGTTCTCAACCCTTATTACACATAATTCATACTGGATAGAAACCCTACACCTGTGAAGAATGTGGCATAGCCTATAACAATTTTCAATCAATTCTTTTTTTTTTTTTGAGATGAAGTTTCATGCTTGTCACCCAAGCTGGAATACAATGTGATGATCTCGGATCACTGAAACCTCTGCCTCCCGGGTTCAAGCCATTTTCCTGCCTCAGCTTGTCTAGTAGATGAGATTATGGGGGGTGGAGCCAAGATGGCTGAATAGGTACAGCTCCTGTCTACAGCTCCCAGCCTGAGTGACGCAGAAGATGGGTGATTTCTGCATTTCCGTCTGATGTACCAGGTTCATCTCACTAGGGGGTGCCAGACAGTGGCTGCAGGACAGTGGATGCAGTGCACTGTGCATGAGCCGAAGCAGGGCGAGGCATTGCCTCACTCACGAAGCGCAAGGAGTCAGGGAGTTCCCTTTCCTAGTCAAAGAAAGGGGTGACAGATGGCACCTGGAAAATCGGGTCACTCCCACCCTAATACTGCGCAATTCCAATGGGCTTAAAAAATGGCACACCAGATTATATCCTGCACCTGGCTCAGAGGGTCCTATGCCCATGGAGTCTCACTGATTGCTAGCACAGCAGTCTGAGATCAAACTGCAAGGCAGCAGCGAGGCTGGGGGAGGAGTGCCTGCCATTGCCCAGGCTTGCTTAGGTAAAGCAGCTGGGAAGCTAGAACTGGGTGGAGCCCACCACAGCTCAAGGAGGCCTGCCTGCCTCTGTAGGCTCCACCTCTGGGGGCAGGGCACAGACAAAAAGACAGCAGTAACCTCTGCAGACTTAAACGTCCCTGTCTGACAGCTTTGAAGAGAGTAGTGGTTCTCCCAGCACGCAGCTGGAGATCTGAGAACGGGCAGACTGCCTCCTCAAGTGGGTCTCTGACCCCCGAGCAGCCTAACTGGGAGGCACCCCCCAGTAGGGGCAGACTGACACTTCACACGGCTGGGTACTCCTCACACAAAACTTCCAGAGGACCGATCAGGCAGCAGCATTTGCGGTTCATGAAAATCCGCTGTTCTACAGCCACTGATGCTGATACCCAGGCAAACAGTGTCTGGAGTGGACCTCTAGCAAATTCCAACAGACCTGCAGCTGAGGGTCCTGTCTGTTAGAAGGAAAACTAACAAACAGAAAGGACATCCACACCAAAAACCCATCTGTACATCACCATCATCAAAGACCAAAAGTAGATAAAACCACAAAGATGGGGAAAAAACAGAGCAGAAAAACTGAAAAGTCTAAAAAGCAGAGCACCTCTCCTCCAAAGGAATGCAGTTCCCCACCAGCAACAGAACAAAGCTGGATGGAGAATGACTTTGATGAGTTGAGAGAAGAAGGCTTCAGACGATCAAACTACTCCGAGCTACAGGAGGAAATTCAAACCAAAGGCAAAGAAGTTAAAAACTTTGAAAAAAAATTAGACGAATGTATAACTAGAATAACCAATGCAGAGAAATGCTTAAAGGACCTGATGGAGCTGAAAGCCAAGGATCAAGAACTATGTGAAGAATGCAGAAGCCTCAGGAGCCAATGCGATCAACTGGAAGAAAGGGTATCAGTGATGGAAGATGAAATGAATGAAATGAAGTGAGAAGGGAAGTTTAGAGAAAAAAAATTAAAAAGAAACAAACAAAGTCTCCAAGAAATATGGGACTATGTGAAAAGACCAAATCTACCTCTGATTGGTGTACCTGAAAGTGAGGGGGAAAATGGAACCAACTTGGAAAACACTCTGCAGGATATTATCCAGGAGAACTTCCCCAATCTAGCAAGGCAGGCCGACATTCAGATTCAGGAAATACAGAGAACGCCACAAAGATACTCCTTGAGAAGAGCAACTCCAAGACACATAATTGTCAGATTCACCAAAGTTGAAATGAAGGAAAAAATGTTAAGGGCAGCCAGAGAGAAAGGTCGGGTTACCCACAAAGGGAAGCCCATCAGACTCACAGCTGACCTCTTGGCAGAAACTCTATAAGCCAGAAGAGAGTGGGGGCCAATATTCAACATTCTTAAAGAAAAGAATTTTCAACCCAGAATTTCATATCCAGCCAAACTAAGCTTCATAAGTGAAGGAGAAATAAAATACTTTACAGACAAGCAAATGCTGAGAGATTTTGTCACCACCAGGCCTGCCCTAAAAGAGCTCCTGAAGGAAGCACTAAACATGGAAAGGAACAACTGATACCAGCCGCTGCAAAATCATGCCAAAATGTAAAGACCATCGAGACTAGGAAGAAACTGCATGAACTAACGAGCAAAATAACCAGCTAACATCATAATGACAGGATCAAATTCTCACATAACAATATTAGCTTTAAATGTAAATGGGCTAAATGCTCCAATTAAAAGACACAGACAGGCAAATTGGATAAAGAGTCAAGACCCATCAGTGTGCTGTATTCAGGAAACCCATCTCACGTGCAGAGACACACATAGGCTCAAAATAAAAGGATGGAGGAAGATCTACGAAGCAAATGGAAAACAAACAAAAAAAGAGGCATGGGTTGCAATCCTAGTCTCTGATAAAACAGAATTTAAACCAACAAAGATCAAAAGAGACAATGCCATTACATAATGGTAAATGGATCAATTCAACAAGAAGAGATAACTATCCTAAATATATATGCACCCAATACAGGAGCACTCAGATTCATAAAGCAAGTCCTGAGTGACTTACAAAGAGACTTACACTCCCACACAATAATAATGGGAGACTTAAACACCCCACTGTCAACATTAGACAGATCAATGAGACAGAAAGTTAACAAGGATATCCAGGAATTGAACACAGCTCTGCACCAAGCGGACCTAATAGACATCTACAGAACTCTCCACCCCAAATTAACAGAATATACATTTTTTTCAGCACCACACCACACCTATTCCAAAATTGACCACATAGTTGGAAGTAAAGCACTCCTCAGCAAATGTAAAGGAACAAAAATTATAAGAAACTGTCTCTCAGACCACAGTGCAATCAAACTAGAACTCAGGATTAAGAAACTCACTCAAAACTGCTCAACTACATGGAAACTGAACAACCTGCTCCTGAATGACTACTGGGTACATAATGAAATGAAGGCAGGAATAAAGATGTTCTTTGAAACCAATGAGAACAAAGACACAACATACCTGAATCTCTGAGACACATTCAAAGCAGTGTGTAGAGGGAAATTTATAGCACTAAATGCCCACAAGAGAAAGCAGGAAAGATCCAAAATTAACACCCTAACATCACAATTAAAAGAACTAGAATTGCAAGAGCAAACACAGTCAAAAACTAGCAGAAGGCAAGAAATAACTAAAATCAGAGCAGAACTCAAGGAAATAGAGACACAAAAAACCCTTCAAAAAATTAATGTATCCAGGAGCTGGTTTTTTGAAAGGATCAACAAAATTGATAGACCGCTAGCAAGACTAATGAAGAAAAGAGAGAAGAATCAAATAGATGCAATAAAAAATGATAAAGGGAGTATCATCACTGATCCCACAGAAATACAAACTACCATCAGAGAATACTACAAACACCTCTACGCAAATAAACTAGAAAATCTAGAAGAAATGGATACATTCCTCAACACATACACCCTCCCAAGACTAAACCAGGAAGAAGTTGAATCTCTGAATAGACCAATAACAGCCTCTGGGGTTGAGGTGATAATCAATAGCTTACCAACCAAAAAGAGTCCAGGACCAGGTGGATTCACAGCCGAATTCTACCAGAGGTACAAGGAGGAGCTGGTACTATTCCTTCTGAAACTATTCCAATCAATAGGAAAAGAGGGAATCCTCCCTAACTCATTTTATGAGGCCAGCATCTTCCTGATACCAAAGCTGGGCAGAGACACAACCAAAAAAGAGAATTTTAGACCAATATCCTTGATGAACATTGATGTGAAAATCCTCAATAAAATACTGGCAAACCGAATCCAGCAGCACATCAAAAAGCTTATCCACCATGATCAAGTGGGCTTCATCCCTGGGATGCAAGGCTGGTTCAACATACGCAAATCAATAAATGTAATCCAGTATATAAACAGAACCAAAGGCAGAAACCACATGATTATCTCAATAGATGCAGAAAAGGCCTTTGACAAAATTCAACAACACTTCATGCTAAAAACTCTCAATAAATTAGGTATTGATGGGATGTATCTCAAAATAATAAGAACTATCTATGACAAGCCCACGGCCAATATCATACTGAATGGGCAAAAACTGGAAGCATTCCCTTTGAAAACTGGCACAAGACAGGATGCCCTCTCTCACCACTCCTATTCAACATATTGTTGGAAGTTCTGGCCAGGGCAATGAGGCAGGAGAAGAAAATAAAGGGTATTCAATTAGGAAAAGAGGAGGTCAAATTGTCCCTGTTTGCAGATGACATGATTGTATATCTAGAAAACCCCATTGTCTCAGCCCAAAATCTCCTTAAGCTGATAAGCAACTTCAGCAAAGTCTCAGGATACAAAATCAATGTACAAAAATCACAAGCATTCTTATATACCAATAACAGACAGAGAGCCAAATCATGAATAAACTCCCATTCACAATTGCATCAAAGAGAATAAAATACCTAGGAATCCACCTTACAAGGGATGTGAAGGACCTCTTCAAGGAGAACTACAAACCACTGCTTAACGAAATAAAAGAGGATGCAAAGAAATGGAAGAACATTCCATGCTCATGGGTAGGAAGAATCAATATCATGAAAATGGCCCATACTGCCCAAGGTAATTTATAGATTCAATGCCATCCCCATCAAGCTACCAATGACTTTCTTCACAGAATTGAAAAACACTACTTTAAAGTTCATATGGAACCAAAAAAGAGCCCACATTGCCCAGTCAATCCTAAGCCAAATGAATAAAGCCGGAGGCATCACGCTACCTGACTTCAAACTATGCTACAAGGCTACATAACCAAAATAGCATGGTACTGGTACCAAAACAGAGATATAGATCAATAGAACAGAACAGAGCCCTCAGAAATAATGCCACATATCTACAACTATCTGACCTTTGACAAACCTGACAAAAAAGCAATGGGGAAAGCATTCCCTATTTAATAAATGATGCTGGGAAAACTGTCTAGCCATATGTAGAAAGCTGAAACTGGATCCCTTCCTTACACCTTATACAAAAATTAATTCAAGATGGATTAAAGACTTACATGTTAGACCTAAAACCATAAAAACCCTAGAAGAAAACCTAGGCAATACCATTCAGGACATAGGCATGGGCAAGGACTTCATGTCTAAAACACCAAAAGCAATGGCAACAAAAGCCAAAATTGACAAATGGGATCTAATTAAACTAAAGACCTTCTGCACAGCAAAAGAAACTACCATCAGAGTCAACAGGCAACCTACAAAATGGGAGAAAATTTTCGCAACCTACTCATCTGACAAAGGGCTAATATCCAGAATCTACAATGAACTCAAACAAATTTACAGGAACAAACAACCCCATCAAAAAGTCGGCAAAGGACATGAACAGACACTTCTCAAAAGAAGACATTTATGCAGCCAAAAAACACATGAAAAAATGCTCACCATCACTGGCCATCAGAGAAATGCAAATCAAAACCACAATGAGATACCATCTCACACCAGTTAGAATGGCAATCATTAAAAACTCAGGAAACAACAGGTGCTGGAGAGGATGTGGAGAAATACGAACACTTTTACACTGTTGGTGGGACTGTAAACTAGTTCAACCATTGTGGAAGTCAGTGTGGCGATTCCTCAGGGAGCTAGAACTAGAAATACCATTTGACCCAGCCATCCCATTACTGGGTATATACCCAAAGGACTATAAATCGTGCTGCTATAAAGACAAATGCACACGTATGTTTATTGCGGCACTATTCACAATAGCAAAGACTTGGAACCAACCCAAATGTCCAACAACGATAGACTGGATTAAGAAAATGTGGCACATATACAACATGGAATACTATGCAGCCATAAAAATGATGAGTTCATGTCCTTTGTAGGGTCATGGATGAAACTGGAAATCATCATTCTCAGCAAACTATCGCAAGGACAGAAAACCGAACACTGCATGTTCTCACTCATAGGTGAGAATTGCACATTGAGAACACATGGACACAGGAAGGGGAACATCACACTCCGGGGACTGTTGTGGGTTGGGGGGAGGGGGGAGGGATAGCATTAGGAGATACACCTAATGCTAAATGATGAGTTAATGGGTGCAGTACACCAACATGGCACATGTATACATATGTAACAAACCTGCACATTGTGCACATGTACCCTAAAACTTAAAGTACAATAATAATAAAATAAAAAAATTAAAAAAGATTACAAGTGCCTACCACCATGCCCAGCTAATTTTCATATTTTTAGTAGAGATGCAATTTTTATCATGTTTTTCAGGGTGGTCTCAAACTCCTGACCTCAGGCGATCCACCTGCTTTGGCCTCCTAAAGTGCTGGAATTACAGACATGAACCATGATGCCTGGCCACCATTTCTTAATTCTTAAGAGATTTGGTGATAATTCCTGCCGAAGAAGAACTCTACAAACCTAAAAAACATGTGACAGTGCTTTTACCAACACCTCCAAATTCTCTATATATAACAATAATTATTGTGGTGTGAAACCCTAGAATTATATATAATGTGACATAGCCTTTATGTGGTTGCCACACTTGATTGTAGGTAAGACTGCAAAACTCCTACTGTCATACTGGCAAAACTCCTACAAGTTTGAAGAATGTGGCAAAACATTTAATCAGTTCTTACCCCTTATTTCACAGGAAAGCTATTATCCTTGAGAAAAATTATACAAATATAAGGAATATGGAAAACCCATTAATTCCTACTCACATCTTAACATAAAAAGGTTCCTTTTAATAAAAGCATTAAAAGTGCAATTACTGTCAAAAAAATCTTTCAGAATCTATAAGCCTTTAAAATGAAGAAAAGTATTTATTTTGAAGACAACTATTACAACTATAAAGGGGGTTATAGCGCATTTACTTGTTGCACACATTTGTACCAGAGGAAAACAGTGAAGCAATTGCTCAAGCTTTGTTCAACATCAGGGAATTTATGTTGGAGATTAGTCCTGCAAATGTAATAAGTTTAGAAACACTTTTTTTTTTCAGAAACAACAGCTTAGAAAACACCAGAGAGTTTATACTAAAGTATAATTTTGCAGATGCAGTAAATATAAAAACAATTCAAAATAGAATGTATATAAATGTCAGAATTTACAGTAGAATAACTAAGGCACTGACACTTAAGACATTACACTAAATCAGAGTGTTGACTATAAAAACTAATCCACAACTACAGTTTTTAGATAAATGATTTGTATGTAACTTTAAAAAGAGATTTTTGGAAGCATTGTAGTTACATTGAAAGTACACTTGTTTCCTTGAATAAAATTTTTTGAAAACTGAATAATGATATAATACAGCTTTCAAATTACTTCATGCTGTTAGTTTATTCCTGTTTTATTCACATGTGAAAGCATGTGATCAATTGCTTCTGCATTAGAGATATTAGATATTTTAAAAAATTATTTGGATATTATGACCTTTTCTATAAAAGAATAAGGACATTAAAATGTAAGATGCATAATGAAAATATAAGTGGAGAGGTTCTTTGTAGTAAACCTCTATTAAGTATAAGGTAAATGTTCAGAGCAATACTTTTCTACATTATAGTGTCACAAGGAAATAATTATAGTTAAAAGTATATTAAAATAAAATAGTATATTATTTTACTAATTGTACTTTTATGTAATGAAATACAGTACATTTAAAAATTGCTAGGGCTGGGCTCAATGGCGCATGCCTGTAATCCCAGCACTTGGGGAGGTCGAGGTGGGTGGAACACCTGAGGTCAGGAGTTCGAGACCAGCCTGACCAACATGGAGAAACCCCATCTCTACTAAAAATACAAAAAATACAAAAAATACTTAGGAGGCTGAGGCAGGAGAATTGCTTGAACAAGGGAGGCAGAGGTTGTGGTGAGCCAAGATCTTGCCATTGCACTCCACCCTGGACAAAAAGAAAAAAACTGCCTCCACCCCCCCCAAAAAAGTTAGATTATGTGTGAACTTAATTTTATTATTTTTTTAACCATGTTAAGACTACTGTGCATTTAATGAAGCATTATTATGCCACTAACTTTAAACGATCCTACCTTACTCAAGGGTGAAGCTACAAGATGGTAACAATACACAATTTGGCATATAGTGGAATAACATTTCTAGTAATCACTTTGCCCGTGGCTTTAAACTGCAAATGAGTTAAAGAATATTGTTCCCACAGATTAAATTTGTACTCTATTTTCTTCTTGAAATTTGTTATTTGTATTTGTGCGTATATAGTATGTGTATGTATTTATGCCTTATATGGCATCTTTTGACTCAGGCCTACAATATGCAGTAATTACATTAGGGTAAATAAGGTGTCCGTCACCTCTAGCATTTATCCTTTGTATTACCAAAAGTGTAATTATATGCTTTTGTTCATTTTAAAATGTACAATTAAATTGTTATTGACTACAGGATTTTTTTATGGTTATAATAATTATACAAAAATACAAATAAAATATGTCCAGGTGCAGTGGCTCACGCCTGTAATTCCAGCACTTTGGGAGGCCAAGGCAGGTGGAATGCTTGAGGCTAGGGGTTCAAGACCAGCCTGGCCAACATGGTGAAACCCCTTCTCTACTAAAAATACAAAAATTGACCAGGCATTTTGGTGCACACCTGGAGGCTGAGGCAGGAGAATTGTTTGAACCCGGGAGGTGGAGGTTGCAGTGAGCCAAGGTCGCACCACTACACTCCAGCATAGATGACAGAGTGAGACTCCATTTCAAAAAAAAAAAAAAAAGAAATAGAAATAAAGTCCATACATTTCTGAGTCCTGAAAGTTTATTAATAAATATTTGTTACATAGCTGTCTTTGAACATGTGGTCTCTCTGCCTGCAAGCATATAGACTTTTAGTTTTAATTTACATAGGGTTAAATATACTCATATTACTCTGAAGATAAACCTTAGGTGTATGAAAATTATGAAGCGAGTGTTTTTGTGAGTATGAGTTTGTACATATTTTCAGAAGGAAAGAGCAATTATTGCAACAAAACAAATCATTTTAATTAGATGATTAACAAAACTAAACACCTTGAAAATGCTAAAAGCAAATCTATACTTTCTGGTTTGTATTCAATTTATTAGTGTAAAATGTTATGGCTTATGATTCGGATTCTCCCCGGAATCTGCTTATTAAAGCACAGGCAACTTTGTCTCCAGAAACAACACTCTTGAATACAACAATAAAACCCCTCTTCAAACAAACAAAAAAATCATTTTAACACCTATTTTAATGAACATTCAACCAAAATTGAATAATTGAATATATTTTTATTGTTCTATGTGTGTGTGAACATATAAAATGGTGCATAAAGGAAAAATGAGCCAGAAAAAAATGTTAGTTAAGATTTGTAGTGAATAAAACTGGAAAGTAGTTAATTATTATATCCAGTTGATGTCTTTGTTTATGTAGATAACAAAAGCAGCAGAAAGACTTTTTTTTTTTCTTTTTCAAGATGGAGTCTTGCTCTGTCACCCAGGCTGGAGTGCAGTGGCGTGATAGCCCACTGTAACCTCCACCTCCTGAGTTCAAGCAATTCTTGTGCCTCAGCCATTTTAGTAGCTGGGATTACAGGTGTGTGCTACCACGCCCGACTAATTTTCATATTTTTAGAAGAGACAGGGTTTCATCATGTTGGCCAGACTGGTCTCAAACAGCTGACCTCATGATCTGCCTGCCTCAGCCTCCCACAGTGCTGATATTACAGGTATGAGCCACTGTGACAGGCAAAAGACTATTTTAAAAGTTTATTTATGTGGGTAGACAACGTTCTAAGATAATACCCTGAATTCCCAGTCTGTTACACACCAGCTGTGTAATACTTTCTTCTTGAGTGTAGAAACGTGTGACTGTGGTAGGAAATCACTCATGAAATTAGGTTACTCATGTGTTGCCTTTGTGTTTATCAAAATGGAGATTATCCTGCTTGTGCTAAACTTAATCAGATGTGGTTTTGAGAGAAAGAGACACGTCATAGAAAAACACCCCTGCTGGCCTGAAAGTAAGTGACTTCTTGGTGGAACATGTTGTAAGCTGCTTATGGTGGCCACATAACAGGAAACGTGTTTGTATATTGTCATCATTCCTGCCTCCTGCATGTTGATTTCAGTAAAGAGAATAAGAGGATCTTATGGCAGAGGGTAAAAAAGGGACTTTCATTCATGCAAGAAATAATCACCTCTCATCTGGGATAGCTTAAGAGAAACAGGAGACCACAACAGGACCACATTAATGGTAGGAAAAGGGTAACCTGAGTAAAAGTGTTCACTGGCATCATAGAACAATATTTAGTAAGCTGTAGTGAATGATCAGCCTCTGGGATACTGATAGTCTACCAACAATGCTGAACTCATTCTGTTTTAATCAGCATGTCTGCACCATTCTGGTGACCCAGTTTTATAGTATTCATTACAGAAATACCATGAAGACCAGTGGGTAATGTCCTAGAATTGTACTTATTTCAAAAAGCGTACTTAATTGTTTTCACATTTCAAAAACCTTAAAAGCAATGAATTTATAATTAACTTCTAATTATAGAGGATTCTACTATACTGTAATACAAGATTAAACTGTAAACACCTTAATATGAATATTTTTTGAATGTATGATTAGTTAGTAGACAGTTTCTTTTAGAGTCACAGGACAAAATAACAACTAGAGAAAACATTTGAAATGGGATAAAATTAACCAAAACCACATCTTTTCAATGGCTTGGCTAAACTAAACACCTTGAATATTGTCATCTTTTCAATGGCTTGGCGAAATTGCCATACTTACGGAAATGGCCAGATGACTAATGAGAAACAGAAAGATTTTGGCTTTGCTCAATGATTGTTTTTGACCTTTTGAAATCTAAAATCCTGGCTAAACTATTCAAAGGGAATATTTTATAGGTGGCTTCCCAGGGTTTCCAAGTAAATGAAGGATGGATTCTCTCTCTCACCCAGGCTGCAGTGCAATGGTGTGTTCTCATTTCACTGCAAACTCTGCCTCCCTGGTTCAAGCGATTCTCCTGCCTCAGCCTCCCGAGTAGCTGGGATAACAGGCAACCACCATTATGCCCGGATAATTTTTGTATCTTTAGTAGAGATGGGATTTCACCTTGTTAGCCAGGCTCATCTTGAACAGCTGACCTCAGAGTGCTGTGACTACAGGTATGAGCCACTGTGCCCGGCCAGAAGAATTTTGATAGGCAGGAAAATGCACATTATATACACACATTGCTCTACTCTGATTTACTTCAACACTGAAAAATTGAAGATTGTAAATGTAGTCTCAATTTAGAGTGAATTAACAAAAGATTTGTTTTTCAAAAAAGCAAATGGATAAAATTAATGGGTAACAGATGCCATTAGCTGCTAAAAAATAGTATGATTAAATTTAGTAAGTATCTAGCTATGCAAATAACAGCCCAATTAAATTAAGACCCTAATAGGTGCATGTGGAAAGCATTGATGTGCAGTGTGGTGCACCTCCACTCAGCATTTTCTTCTACCTTTTTACAGAGATACCAATTCTTCCTCAGTTACTCAGGGTCCATACTGGGTTAGAAATGCTTGTTCTCTGGTGCCATAAGGAAATAGCACTCGAACATTAATTTTCTTAGCAAGACCATTTTTACTTTTTGCAGAAAGTGTACACTCTTCAGCAGTTTTGCCATCAAAGTACATCAAACAAAGGAGACAAGGTCATTTATAACCTGACGCATCCTTTCTACTGCTGTGTCTAGTTTTCATTGGCTGAAACAAGACCTCAAATTCTGTATTTCCCCCCATTGTTTAGTGACTTAGAACTTTTTAAAAGAGGCAAAGGCAGAGGAGAATGAAGGAAGGAGGAAGTAACTTGTGGAATGCTGAGAAAGGTAAAAACACCAAATAAGGAAGAGTAACAGGCTATGACCTAATGCTTGCTTGGACTAGTATAAGCATGCCAGGGCAAATATTTAGGCTAAATTGTGGGAGCTAAGAAGAAAGTACATTGATTTTTTTATTATGGCTAGCAGATATTTAAGAATGTTAGCACAGGACTTTGAATAAATTTTGCTTCTAAGAGAAGTTACTGTTTATTCCTAATTAGATGGGGAGGAAAGTCTTTGAAGAGGAACCTCTACTTTACTTTTTGCACTTGGAACAGAGAGTGCTGTGTTCAGAGTGATTACCGAAAACATGGCTAATACACATCTTCCATATGATAATAAAATGTTATAAATCTTACTCTGCCTCAGAAAAGCTTTTACTAAAAGATTATCTATGGTAATCAATTTGAGTTCATGGAAAATTTCAATATTCCAGATAATTCAGACAGTTAAATGTCAATGAAATCTCAAAACATTTGAATAAGATAAAGTCTTCTTAGTGAAGAATTTTATATTACCGGTAGTTAGAAAAAAAAAAAAAAAGAAAACCAGGCTGAATGCGGTGGCTCATGCCTGTAATCTCAGCACTTTGGGAGGCTGAGGCAGGTGGATCACCTATGGTCTAGAGCTCGAGACCAGCCTGACTAACATGGTGAGACCCCCATCTCTACTAAAAATACAAAAAATTAGCTGGGCATGGTGGCAGGTGCCTGTAATCCCAGCTACTGGGGAGGCTGAGGTAGAAGAATTGTGGGAAACTCGGGGACAGAGGTTACAGTGAGCCAAGATCATGCCATTGCCCTCCAGCCTGGGCAACAAGAGCAAGACTCCGTCTCAAAAATAAAATAAAATAAAAACCAGTACCTTAAGCCAAATAACATTGTTTGACATGGGAGTAGCAACCAAACAAGTGCTATTCATGATTTCATAATAACTTTTTTTTTTTGAGACAGTCTCACTAGGTCACCCAGGTTGGAGTGCCGTGACATGATCTTGGCTCCCTGCAACCTCTAACTTTCTGGTTTACATGATTCTCCTGCCTCAGCCTCCCTAGTAGCTGGGAGTACAGGTGCCCACCACCATGCCCAGCTAATTTTTTATATTTTTAGTGGAGACCAGATTTCACCATGTTGCCCAGGCTGGTCTCAAACTGCTGACCTCAAGCAATCCACTGCCCTCCACCTCCCAAACTGCTGGGATTACAGGCATGAGCCATTGTGCTCAGCAATTTCTGTACTTTTAGAAGAGACAGGGTTTCACCATATTGGCCAGGCTGGTCTCAAACTCCTGACGTTGTGATCCACCCACCTCGGCCTCTCAAAGTACTGGGAATACAGGCGTGAACCACCATGCTCGGCCTGATCATTGTTAAAGTAGCAATAGCACCTTGTGCTTTCCTAGGACTTGCTGGCCTGTTTTTCACTGATATAAAGTGAAGAAAGCATTCAAATATTGCTGAGAAGTGGCTGTCCTCCCAGAAAATAGCTATTCTCGGCTGTACCAACATTGACTAATAGTAAGAGGAAGTGAAGTGGATAAAAGGCAAATGTGTCTTCTCTGTATCTTTTTTCAACCATTGGCTGAAGAACAGGAGAATGCAGAAAATTTAAAAAAAAAAAAATCCCTGAAAGATCATGAAGAAGCTCTCTTTATCAGACAAAAAACCTCTTAGGGGATTTTTTTTGTTTCATTATTGTACTGTCTGCTTCTATGAGTTTAAATTTTTTTTTACACTTTACATAGAAATAGGATTATATGAGTCAGGCACAGTGGCTCATGCCTGTAATCCCAACACTTTGAGAGGCCGAGGTGGGTGGATCACTTGAGGTCAGGAGTTTGAAACTAGCCTGGCCAACATAGGAAAACTCTATCTCTACAGAAAATATAAAAATTTGCTGGGTATGGTGGCAAGTGCCTGTAATCCCAGGTACTGAGGAAGCTGAGGCAGGAGAATCTCTTGAACCTGGAGGCAGATGTTGCAGTGAGTGGAGATGGTGCCACTGCACTCCAGCCTGGGTGACAAGAGCAAAACTCCACCTCAAAAAAAAAAAAAAAAGGATTATGTTTTCTGTTTTTTTCCGTGTTGACTTATTTTACTTAGTATAATGTCTTTCAGGTTCATGAATGTTGTTGCAAATAACAAGACCTTATTTTTAAGGGCTGAATAGCATTTCACTGTGTACACATACCATATTTTCTTTTTCCATTCACCTATTGATGGACACTTAGGTTGATTTCATACCTTAGCTGTTGTGAGTAATCCACTTCCTTCCTTCTATTTTGATTTTGTTTTTGTTTTGCTTTGTTTGAGATGGAGTCTCATTCTGTCGCCCATGCTGGAGTGCAGTGGCGTGATCTCTGCTCACTGCAAACTCTGCCTCCCAGGTTCAGTGATACTCATGCCTAAGCCTCCTGAGTAGCTGAGGTTACAGGTGTAAGCCACCACACCAGGCTAATTTTTGTAATTTTAGTAGAGGCAGGCTTTCACCATGTTCACCAGGCTGCCTTTCATTTGTTTGTATATTTCTTTCTCCTTTCCCGTCTTTATCTCTAGAAGTATTTTAATTTTAATATATAAATTATGACTGTTAACCTTCATTTCTCTGTTTTTGCATACTATTATGGCTGATTAAAAGATAAGTTTTTTGAAATTTCCTGGATAAAGTTTATTACTTCATTATTAAGATAACTTGAGACAATATGGAAATGAAAATCAACATTTGTTAGTAAAACAGAAATTAGCTACTGGTAGTCATTTAATCTCTCACCCAACATGAACGCTACGTCTTTGTGTCATCTCTCCCAGTTGTATGTAAGAGGCTACTGAGCAAACTGGTCAGCATAAAATTTTGTGAAGTTTAACATATATGTTCTGAAAATTAAGTTGATCCATTACCAGAAAAGTAGGTTTTCTGATGTGTATAATTTTACTCTATTTAAATTCTTCAGAAAAATGAAACTGACATTATGTAAAAGTTTTTTTTGGAAATTAAAAATGCTTAAGAAATGTTTATAGAAACTAAAAGTAAAAATAGTTTTAGATTCCTAGAGAACATCTTTAAAATACTTCAAGTTATCCTCTGACAGTATATATATATAAAATATATATAATATATAAATATATATAATATATAATAAATATAATATATAAAAATAATATATATAATGTATAAAATATATATTTACATTATTATATATAATATGTAATATTTATTTATATGTTTATATATATTTAAATATATAATTATATTTAAATTATACATTTAAATATAATTATATTTAAATTATATATTTAAATATATAATTATATTTAAATATATAATTATATTTAAATATAATTATATTTATATAATACATAAATATATGATATATCATATATAAATATATAATATCATATATGATATATATCTATATATGAGATATATGATATAGATCTCATATTGAGATATATGATATATATATCATATATGAGATATTTATGATATATCTCATATATATGAGATATTTATGATATATATCTCATATATGAGATATATATCATATATGATATATATTATATACTATATATCATATATGATATATCATATATTTATATATTATATATAATATATAGAAATATATAATATATAATATATAGAAATATATATTATATATAATATATAGAAATATATATTATATATAATATATAGAAATATATATTATATATAATATATAGAAATATATAATATATAATATATAGAAATATATATTATATATAATATATAGAAATATATATTATATATAATATATAGAAATATATATTATATATAATATATAGAAATATATATGTAAATATATATTTAATATATATGTATATTTATATATGAATATATATTTTGTATATGTAAATATATAATATATTATATATATTTTTATATAATATATAATATATTATATATATTTTTATATAATATATAATATATTATATATATTTTTATATAATATATAATATATTATATATATTTTTATATAATATATAATATATTATATATATTTTTATATAATATATAATATATTATATATATTTTTATATAATATATAATATATTATATATATTTTTATATAATATATAATATATATATTTTTTTCTTTTTTTGAGACAAAGTTTCAGTCTTGCCCAGGCTGGAGTGCAATGGCACAATCTCGGCTCACTGCAACCTCCACCTTCCGGGTTCAAGTGATTCTCCTGCCTCAGCCTTGCCAGTACCTGGGCTTACAGGCGCCCACCACCACACCTGGCTAATTTTTACAGTTTTACTATAGATGGGGTTTCATCATGTTGGCCAGGCTGGTCTCGAACTCCTGACATCAAGTAATCCCTCTGCATTGGCCGCCCAAAGTACTGGGATTACAGGCATGAGCTGCTGGCTGGGCCAAGTGTTGAACTTTTCTGAATAAATTATCTCAGCTCAGATAATTTAAATCAGCCAATTAGCTTGCCTCTGGGGATTCCAAGCAGCCCATTAGCACATCCCAGGAGAATCCAATCAGCAAATTAGGTCAGCCCAGCTGATTAGCCCAGGTAATTTTTAAGAGCCAGCTAACTTACTCCAGGTGATATTAATCAGCCAGTTATCTCAGCTGATGTGAATCTTATAAGCCAATTAGTTTAGCACAGGTGATTTTAAACCACCGCATCACTCAGCCCAGGTGATTTCAATCAGTGAATCAGCTTAACCCAGGTGATTTCTATCAGCCAATTAATCAATCCAGGTGAATTCAATTAGCTAATTAGCTCAGTCCAGGTGATCCCAATCAGCCAATTATCTAGCAGCTGCCAATTCATTAAGGCATGCCCAAAATGGTAAATGTAAATAGCCCAGGCACACCAAGAAGAAATGCAGGGCCCTATATGCTAAGCTGGACAGTATGTACCACACAGCTTTACTGTCAGCTTATTTACAAGACCTGAAACCTGAAGCTGAAGGTTTTTGTTTATATAAACCACATTGTATGGCTATGTTTTATTCTGTTATGCTATTGAAAAAAACAGAAGGCAATTAATTCTACATCTGCATCCTTAGTATATGCTCTATATTTTAAAAAGTGGGAAAATATTTTATGTATACATTAATATTTACATATACACATTCATATAAGTTTGCGTTTATGTATCTACCAGGTGTGTACATATATTCATATATATACCTAAGTATATATAAATATATATATATAATATCTGAAGCTGTAACAATCTTTGTATTTATATTCATACAGAATAAAGATGTTGACTGTGGAAGTATTGATAGGTATTGCTACAAACAGTAATACAAAACCTTTCATACATGCATAAAATATTTTCCCTGTAGAATACTATTTCTAGAATAGTACAGAAATAGAGGAATGCTTTGATATACATCCTGCTGCACTTAATATATTCAAAGGAAGCACTGAACTTTGTTGTGCACTTCTGGATGATACAAATTTTCTAAGGCCATTGGAGTTATTTACTGCCATATCAGGGTTGACTTTTCTTTTATTGTTGTACGTAAGGTCAGAGATGAACCAGCCCCAGTCCAAAGGTTCTAACCTAAATATGAGAATACTTACTCTTTCTCTTTAGAACTTTCATCAAGACAAGAACTGTGTGTATTCCCAAGAGTGTGCGATGTAAAATCACACTCTTGTCTTTTTGTCTTTGTGGCAGAAGTTGGGTATTTATGGTAAGAAAATATTAGTCTAGGTCTCTTTTTAGAAGACAGATGGTGATCATGGAAGCAAATATAATGGTACATGGTACTTGGCCACATTTCAAATGGGTGATAGTGAACATTCGCTGAAGTGTCACAGGTGGCTCTATTTGCCAGGTCAAATCTTTGTGAGGAAGGCTCAGCCCACTGGTGTCAAGCATTTCTGGCAGTTTCCAGAAAGATGAAAAGAAGCTCACCGGGCTGGTTTAATGAGACCAGAATTAAAAACACCCAGGAGCCACGTTATTAAACACATTTTTACATTTATTTAAAAAAATGTGGTGTATGGCTTGGTTTGAATAAATCTTCACTGAGCTCAGTAGCTGATTGAATTTATCTAACCTGTTCGGAAAGAAAATGGAAATAACCTCTGATCAAGTTTATTTTATAGGCTTCTTTCTGTACATACAGATATGAAATAGGTGGCTCGTTAAACATATACACACAAAATGAGTCACATGGTTATGTCTATGTAATGTTTATTTCTGCATACGACTCTCAAAAGCCACAGAAAAAAAGTAGGTCAGAAGACATCTCCGTATGCTACCCCTGAAGCCAAGATCAATTAAATAAGTAAATGAGCAGAAACCGGGTGATTGCAATCAGCCAATTTGCACAGCCTTGGTGATTTCAACCAGCCAAGTAGCTCAGTCCAGGTGGATCCAATCATGCAATTATCTAAATGGTGACTGTGACTTTGTCAAGACAGGCGCCAAATGGTGCATGTGAACGGAACATGTACCAAATGCAGGGCGCTGAAATACTGTCCTGGACAGATGTGTTACATGACTTTATTTTCAGCTTATTTCTGTGGACTTGCCCTTGAAGATAGAGCTTTGTTGATATGTTCCATTCTGAAATGTTATTTAGCTAAAGAAGGAAAAATTGATTCTACATTAGCATCTTTAGAGCATGCTAAAAGGTTAAAAATATCTCTTGGGGAATATGTTTTGTATACATAAATATTTAGATAGAAATATTTATATAATTCTCTATGTGGGTTTTTGTCTTCCTATGTATATTTATATGTAGATGTGTCAATCTTTGTATTGATATGAAACGTTGTGAATAGTGAGATAAAAAGTAACTTCCAGTTGGATGCTGTGGCTCACACCTGTAAGCCCAGCACTTTGAGAGGCTGAGGTGGGTGGATCACCTGAGGTCAGAAGTTCAAGAACAGCCTGGCCAACATGGTGAAACCTTATCTCTACTAAAACCAAATCGACGTCTGATTGATGTACTTGAAAGTGATGGGGAGAATGGAACCAAGCTGGAAAACACTCTGCAGGATATTATACAGGCTCAAAATAAAGGGATGGAGGAAGATCTACCAAGCAAATGGAAAACAAAAAAAAGGCAGGGGTTGCAATTCTAGTCTCTGATAAAACAGACTTTAAACCAACAAAGATCAAAAGAGACAAAGAAGGCCATTACATAATAGTAAAGGGATCAATTCAACAAGAAGAGCTAACTATCCTAAATATATATGCACCCAATACAGGAGTACCCAGATTCATAAAGCAAGCATTAGAGACCTACAAAGAGACTTAGACTCCCACACAATAATAATGGGAGACTTTAACACCCCACTGTCAACATTAGACAGATCAACGAGACAGAAAGTTAACAAGGATATCCAGGAATTCAACTCAGCTCTGCACCAAGCGGACCTAATAGACATCTACAGAACTCTCCACCCCACATCAACAGAATATACATTCTTCTTAGCACCACACTGCAGTTATTCCAAAATTGAACACATAGTTGGAAGTAAAGCACTCCTCAGCAAATGTAAAAGAACAGAAATTATAACAAACTGTCTCTCAGACCACAGTGCAATCAAACTAGAACTCAGGATTAAGAAACTCACTCAAAACCGCTCAACTACATGGAAACTGAACAACCTGCTCCTGAATGACTACTGGGTACATAACAAAACAAAGGCAGAAATAAAGATGTTCTTTGAAACCAATGAGAACAAAGACAGAACATGCCAGAATCTCTGGGACACATTCAAAGCAGTGTGTAGAGGGAAATTTATAGCAGTAAATGCCCACAAGAGAAAGCAGGAAAGATCTAAAATTGACACGCTAACACCACAATTAAAAGAACTAGAGAAGCAAGAGCAAACACATTCAAAAGCTAGCAGAAGGCAAGAAATAACTAAGATCAGAACAGAACTGAAGGAAATAGAGACACAAAAAACACTTCAAAAAAATCAATGAATCCAGGAGGTGGTTTTTTGAAAAGACCAACAAAATTGATAGACCACTAGCAAGACTAATAAAGAAGAAAACAGAAGAATCAAATAGACGCAATAAAAATGATAAAGGGGATATCACCACCAATCCCACAGGAATATAAATTACCATCAGAAAATACTACAAACACCTCTACGCAAATAAATGAGAAAATATATAAGAAATGGATAAATTCCTCAACACATACACCCTCCCAAGACTAAACCGGGAAGAAGTTGAATCTCTGAATAGACCAGTAACAGCCTCGGGATTGAGGTGATAATTAATAGCTTACCAATCAAAAAAAGTCCAGGACCAGATGGATTCACAGCTGCATTCTATCAGAGGTACAAGGAGGAGCTGGTACTATTCCTTCTGAAACTCTTCCAATCAATAGAAAAAGAGGGAATCCTCCCTAACTCATTTTATGAGGCCAGCATCAATATGATACCAAAGCCTGGCAGAGACACAACAAAAAAAGAGAATTTTAGACCAATATCCCTGATGAACATCGATGCAAAAATCCTCAATAAAATACTGGCAAACTGAATCCAGCAGCACATCAAAAAGCTTATCCACCATGATCAAGTGGGCTTCATCCCTGGGATGCAAGGCTGGTTCAACATACACAAATCAATAAACATAATCCAGCATATAAACAGAACCAGTAACAAAAACCATATGATTATCTCAATAGGTGCAGAAAAGGCCTTTGACAAAATTCAACAACCTTCATGCTGAAAACTCTTAATAAATTAGGTATTGATGGGACATATCTCAAAACAATAAGAGTTATCTATGACAAAACCACAACCAATATCATACTGAATGGGCAAAAACTGAAAGCATTCCCTTTGAAAACTGGCACAAGACAGGGATGCCCTCTCTCACCACTCCTATTCAACATAGTGTTGGAAGTTCTGGCCAGGGCAATCAGGCAGGAGAAGGAAATAAAGGGTATTCAATTAGGAAAAGAGGAAGTCAAATTGTCCCTGTTTGCAGATGACATGATTGTATATCTAGAAAAATCCCATTGTCTCAGCCCAAAATCTCCTTAACTGATAGGCAACTTCAGCAAAGTCTCAGGATACAAAATCAATGTGCAAAAATCACAAGTATTCTTATACACAAATAACAGACAAACAGAGAGCCAAATCATGAGTGAACTCCCATTCACAATTGCTTCAAAGAGAATAAAATACCTAGGAATCCAACTTACAAGGGACGTGAAGGACCTCTTCAAGGAGAACTACAAACCACTGCTCAATGAAATAAAAGAGGATACAAACAAATGGAAGAACATTCCATGCTCATGGGTAGGAAGAATCAATATCATGAAAATGGCCATGCTGCCCAAGGTAATTTATAGATTCAATGCCATCCCCATCAAGCTACCAATGACTTTCTTCACAGAATTGGAAAAAATTACTTTAAAGTTCATATGGAATCAAAAAAGAGCCTGCATTGCCAAGTCAATCCTAAGCAAAAAGAACAAAGCTGGAGGCATCACACTACCTGACTTCAAACTATCCTACAGTGCTACAGTAACCAAAACAGCATGGTACTGGTACCAAAACAGAGATATAGACCAACGGAACAGAACAGAGCCCTCAGAAATAATGCCCCATATCTACAAGAATCTGATCTTTTGCAAACCTGACAAAAACAAGAAATGGGGAAATGATTCCCTATTTAATAACTGGTGCTGGGAAAACTGTCTAGCCATATGTAGAAAGCTGAAACTGGATCCCTTCCTTACACCTTATATAAAAATTAATTCAATATGGATTAAAGACTTAAATGTTAGACCTAAAACCATAAAAACTCTACAAGAAAACCTAGGCAATACCATTCAGGACATAGGCATGGGCAAGGACTTCATGTCTAAAACACCAAAAGCGATGGTAACAAAAGCCAAAATTGACAAATGGGATCTAATTAAACTAAAGAGCTTCTGCACAGTAAAAGAAACTACCATCAGAGTGAACAGGCAATCTACAGAATGGGAGAAAATTTTTGCAATCTACTCATCTGACAAAGGGCTAATATCCAGAATCTACAAAGAACTCAAACAAATTTATGAGAAAAAAAACAAACAACCTCATCAACAAGTGGGCAAAGCATATGAACAGATGCTTCTCAAAAGAAGACATTTATGCAGCCAACAGACACATGAAAAAATGCTCATCATCACTGGCCAACAGAGAAATGCAAATCAAAACCACAATGAAATACCATCTCGCACCGGTTAGAATGGCGATCATTAAAAAGTCAAGAAACAACAGGTGTTGGAGAGGATGTGGAGAAACAGGAACACTTTTACACTGTTCTTGGGACGGTAAACTAGTTCAACCATTGTGGAAGTCAGTGTGTCCATTCCTCAGGGTTCTAGAACTAGAACTACCACTTGATCCAGCAATCCAATTACTGGGTATATACCCAAAGGAGTATAAATCATGTTGCTATAAAGACATAGGCACACATATGTTTATTGCGGCACTATTCACAATAGCAAAGACTTGGAACCAACCCAAATGTCCAACAATGATAGACTGGATTAAGAAAATGTGGCACATATACACCATGGAATACTATGCAGCCATAAAAAATGATGAATTCATGTCCTTTGTAGGGACATGAATGAAGCTGGAAAGCATCATTCTCAGCAAACTATTGCAAGGACACAAAACCAAACACCGCATGTTCTCACTCATAAGTGGGAATTGAACACTGAGAACACATGGACACAGGAAGGGGAACATCACACACTGGGGCCTGTTGTGAGGTGTGGGGAGGGGGGAGGGATAGCATTTGGAGATATATAACTAATGTTAAATGACGAGTTACTGGGTGTAGCACACCAACATAGTGCATGTATACATATGTAACTAACCTGCATGTTGTGCACATGTACCCTAAAAGTTAAAGTATAATAAAAAAATGCAAATACAAAAAATTAGCCAGGCTTGGTGGGAGGCATCTGTAATCCCAGCTACTTGGGAGGCTGAAGCAGAAGAATTGTTGAACCAGGGGGCAGAGGTTGCAGTGAGCCAAGATTGCACCACTATACTCTATCCTAATGAATACAGCAAGATTCAATCTCAAAAAAAAAATGTACATAAAACTGTTTATGGTACATAAAACTGTTAAAAGTCTTTTATATAATATATAACTTCATAAATCTGTTAATAGATACAACATATAAAATAATTTTAGTATCAACAGGAAAATATAGTTTTTCTATTCATTTGAAGTTGTTATGAGATTTATATTGCTTTAACTTTAAGATGTATGTAATCTCCAGTTTTCAAGACGATTACAAAGATAATATTTATAGAAAGTATGCAAAAGAAAATAAAAAATAAAGCATTTCAGTAGAAAATTAAATTAAGGGAAGGAGCCAAGATGGCCGAATAGGAACAGCTCCAGTCTACAGCTCCCAGTGTGAGCGACACAGAAGACGGGTGAATTCCTGCATTTCCATCTGAGGAACTGGGTTCATCTCACTAGGGAGTGCCAGACAGTGGGCACAGGTCAGTGGGTGCACACACTGTGCGAGAGCTGAAGCAGGGCGAGGCATTGCCTCACTCGCAAAGTGCAAGGGGTCAGGGAGTTCTCTTTCCTAATCAAAGAAAGTGGTGACAGACGGCACCTGGAAAATCAGGTCACTCCCACCCGAATACTGCACTTTTCCGACGGGCTTAAAAAATGGCGCACCAGGAGATTATATCCTGCACCTGGCTCGGAGGGTCCTATGCCCAGGGAGTCTCACCTATTGCTAGCACAGCAGTCTGAGATCAAACTGCAAGGCCGCAGCGAGGCTGGGGAGGGGTGTCCGCCATTGCCCAGGCTTGCTTAGGTAAACAAAGCAGCCGGGAAGCTAGAACTGGGTGGAGCCCACCACAGCTCAAGGAGGCCTGCCTACCTCTGTAGGCTCCACCTCTGGGGGCAGGGCGCAAACAAAAAGACAGCAGTAAACTCTGCAGACTTAAATGTCTCTGTCTGACAGCTTTGAAGAGAGCAGTGGTTCTCCCAGAATGCAGCTGGAGATCTCAGAACGGGCAGACTGCCTCCTCAAGTGGGTCCCTGACCCTTGACCCCTGAGCAGCCTAATTGGGAGGCACCCCACAGCAGGGGCAGACTGACACCTCACATGGCCAGGTACTCCAACAGACCTGCAGCTGACGGTCCTGTCTGTTGGAAGGAAAACTAACAAACAGAAAGGACATCCACACCAAAAACCCATCTGTACATCACCATCATCAAAGACCAAAAGTAGATAAAACCACAAAGATGGGGAAAAAACAGAGCAGAAAAACTGGAAAGTCTAAAAAGCAGAGCGTCTCTCCTCCTCCAAAGGAACGCAGTTCCTCACCAGCAACAGAACAAAGCTGGACGGAGAATGACTTTGATGAGCTGAGAGAAGAAGGCTTCAGATGATCAAATTACTCCAAGCTACAGGAGGACATTCAAACCAAAGACAAAGAAGTTGAAAACCTTGAAAAAAAATTAGAAGAATGTATAACTAGAATAACCAATACAGAGAAGTGCATAAAGGAGCTGATGGAGCTGAAAACCAAGGCTTGAGAACTACAAGAAGAATGCAGAAGCCTCAGGAGCCAATGCGATCAACTGGAAGAAAGGATGTCAGCGATGGAAGATGAAATAAATGAAATGAAGGGAGAAGGGAAGTTTAGAGAAAAAAGAATAAAAAGAAATGAGCAAAGCTTGCAAGAAAGATGGGAATATGTGAAAAGACCAAATCTACGTCTGATTGGTGTACCTGAAAGTGAGGGGGAGAATGGAACCAAGTTGGAAAACACTCTGCAGGATATTATCCAGGAGAACTTCCCCAATCTAGCAAGGCAGGCCGATGTTCAGATTCAGGAAATACAGAGAACGCCACAAAGATACTCCTCGAGAAGAGCAACACCAAGACACATAATTGTCAGATTCACCAAAGTTGAAATGAAGGAAAAAATGTTAAGGGCAGCCAGAGAGAAAGGTCGGGTTACCCATAAAGGGAAGCCCATCAGACTAACAGCGGATCTCTCAGCAGAAACTCTACAAGCCGGAAGAGAGTGGGGGCCAATATTCAACATTCTTAAAGAAAAGAATTTTCAACCCAGAATTTCATATCTAGCCAAACTAAGCTTCATAAGTGAAGGAGAAATAAAATACTTTACAGACAAGCAAATGCTGAGAGATTTTGTCACCACCAGGCCTGCCCTAAAAGAGCTCCTGAAGGAGGCGCTAAACATGGAAAGGAACAACCAGTACCAGCCGCTGCAAAATCATGCCAAAATGTAAAGACCATCGAGACTAGGAAGAAACTGCATCAACTAACAAGTAAAATAACCAGCTAACATCATAATGACAGGATCAAATTCACACATAACAATATTAACTTTAAATGTAAATGGACTAAATGCTCCAATTAAAAGACACAGACTGGCAAATTGGATAAAGAGTCAAGACCCATCAGTGTGCTGTATTCAGGAAACTCATCTCACGGGCAGAGACACACATAGGCTCAAAATAAAAGGATGTAGGAAGATCTACCAAGCAAATGGAAAACAAAAAAAGGCAGAGGTTGCAATTCTAGTCTCTGATAAAACAGACTTTAAACCAACAAAGATCAAAAGAGACAAAGAAGGCCATTACTTAGTGGTAAAGGGGTCAATTCAACAAGAAGAGCTAACTATCCTAAATATATATGCACCCAATACAGGAGTACCCAGATTCATAAAGCAAGTCCTGAGTGACCTACAAAGAGACTTAGACTCCCACACATTAATAATGGGGGACTTTAACACCTCACTGTCAACATTAGACAGATCAATGAGACAGAAAGTTAACAAGGATATCCAGGAATTCAACTCAGCTCTGCACCAAGCAGACCTAATAGACATCTACGGAACTCTCCACCCCAAATCAACAGAACATACATTTTTTTCAGCACCACACCACACCTATTCCAAAATTGACCACCTACTTGGAAGTAAAGCTCTCCTCAGCAAATGTAAAAGAACAGAAATTATAACAAACTATCTCTCAGACCACAGTGCAAACAAACTAGAACTCAAGATTAAGAATCTCACACAAAACTGCTCAAGTACATGGAAACTGAACAACCTGCTCCTGAATGACTACTGGGTACATAATGAAATGAAGGGAGAAATAAAGATGTTCTTTGAAACCCATGAGAACAAAGACATAACATACCAGAATCTCTGGGACACATTCAAAGCAATGTGTAGAGGGAAATTTATAGCACTAAATGCCCACAAGAGAAAGCAGGAAAGATCCAAAATTGACACCCTAACATCACAATTAAAAGAACTAGAAAAGCAAGAGCAAACACATTCAAAAGCTAGCAGAAGGCAAGAAATAACTAAAATCAGAGCAGAATTGAAGGAGATAGAGACACAAAAAACCCTTCAAAAAATTAATGAATCCAGGAGCTGGTTTTTTGAAAGGATGAACAAAATTGATAGACCATTAGCAAGACTAATAAAGAAAAAAAGAAAAATCAAGTAGATGCAATAAAAAATGATAAAGGGGATATCACCACTGATCCCACAGAAATACAAACTACCATCAGAGAATACTACAAACACCTCTAAGCAAATAAACTAGAAAAATCTAGAAGAAATGAATAAGTTCCTCGACACATACACTCTCCCAAGACTAAACCAGGAAGAAGTTGAATCTCTGAATAGACCAATAACAGGCTCTGAAATTGTGGCAATAATCAATAGCTTACCAACCAAAAAGAGTCCAGGACCAGATGGATTCACAGCCAAATTCTACCAGAGGTACAAGGAGGAACTGGTACCATTCCTTCTGAAACTATTCCAATCAATAGAAAAAGAGGGAATCCTCCCTAATTCATTTTGTGAGGCCAGAATCATCCTGATACCAAAGCTGAGCAGAGACACAACCAAAAAAGAGAATTTTAGACCCATATCCTTGATGAACATTGATGTGAAAATCCTCAATAAAATACTGGCAAACCGAATCCAGCAGCACATCAAAAAGCGTATCCACCATGATCAAGTGGGCTTCATCCCTGGGATGCAAGGCTGGTACAATATACACGAATCAATATATGTAATCCAGCATATAAACAGAACCAAAGACAAAAACCACATGATTATCTCAATAGATGCAAAAAAGGCTTTTGACAAAATTCAACAACACTTCATGCTAAAAACTCTCAATAAATTAGGTATTGATGGGACATATCTCCAAATAATAAGAGCTATCTATGACAAACCCACAGCCAATATCATACTGAATGGGCAAAAACTGGAAGCATTCCCTTTGAAAACTGGCACAAGACAGGGATGCCCTCTCTCACCACTCCTATTCAACATAGTGTTGGAAGTTCTGGCCAGGGCAATGAGGCAGGAGAAGGAAATAAAGGATATTCAATTAGGAAAAGAGGAAGTCAAATTGTCCCTGTTTGCAGATGACATGATTGTATATCTAGAAAACCCCATTGTCTCAGCCCAAAATCTCCTTAAGCTGATAAGCAACTTCAGCAAAGTCTCAGGATACAAAATCAATGGACAAAAATCACAAGCATTCTTATACACCAACAACAGACAAACAGAGAGCCAAATCATGAGTGAACTCCCATTCACAATTGCTTCAAAGAGAATAAAATACCTAGGAATCCAACTTACAAGGGATGTGAAGGACCTCTTCAAGGAGAACTACAAACCACTGCTCAATGAAATAAAAGAGGATACAAACAAATGGAAGAACATTACATGCTCGTGGATAGGAAGAATCAATATCGTGAAAATGGCCATACTGCCCAAGGCAATTTACAGATTCAATGCCATCCCCATCAAGCTACCAATGACTTTCTTCACAGAATTGGAAAAAACTACTTTAAAGTTCATATGGAACCAAAAAAGAGCCTGCATCACCAAGTCAATCCTGAGCCAAAAGAACAAAGCTGGAGGCATCACACTACCTGACTTCAAACTATCCTACAGTGCTACAGTAACCAAAACAGCATGGTACTGGTATGAAAACAGAGATATAGATCAACGGAACAGAACAGAGCCCTCAGAAATAATGCTGCATACCTACAACTATCTGATCTTTGACAAACCTGAGAAAAACAAGCAATGGGGAAAGGATTCCCTATTTAATAAATGGTGCTGGGAAAACTGTCTAGCCATATGTAGAAAGCTGAAATTGGATCCCTTCCTTACACCTATACAAAAATCAATTCAAGATGCATTAAAGACTTAAACGTTAGACCTAAAACCATAAAAACCCTAGAAGAAAACCTAGGCATTACCACTCAGGACATAGGCATGGGCAAGGACTTCATGTCTAAAACACCAAAAGCAATGGCAACAAAAGCCAAAATTGACAAATGGGATCTAATTAAACTCAAGAGCTTCTGCACAGCAAAAGAAACTACCATCAGAGTCAACAGGCAACCTACAAAATGGGAGAAAATTTTCGCAACCTACTCATCTGACAAAGGGCTAATATCCAGAATCTACAATGAACTCAAACAAATTTACAAGAAAAAAACAAACAACCCCATCAAAAAGTGGGCAAAGGACATGAACAGACACTTCTCAAAAGAAGACACTTATGCAGCCAAAAAACACATGAAAAAATGCTCACCATCACTGGCCATCAGAGAAATGCAAATCAAAACCACAATGAGATACCATCTCACACCAGTTAGAATGGCAATCATTAAAAAGTCATGAAACAACAGGTGCTGGAGAGGATGTGGAGAAACAGGAACACTTTCACACTGTTGGTGGGACTGTAAACTAGTTCAACCATTGTGGAAGTCAGTGTGGCGATTCCTCAGGGATCTAGAACTAGAAATACCATTTGACCCAGCCATCCCATTACTGGGTATATACCCAAAGGACTATAAATCATGCTGCTATAAAGACACATGCACACGTATGTTTATTGTGGCATTATTCACAATAGCAAAGACTTGGAACCAAGCCAAATGTCCAACAATGATAGACTGGATTAAGAAAATGTGGCACATATACACCATGAAATATTATGCAGCCATAAAAAGTGATGAGTTCATGTCCTTTGTAGGGACATGGATGAGATTGGAAATCATCATTCTCAGTAAACTATTGCAAGAACAAAAAAACCAAACACCACATATTCTCACTCATAGGTGGGAATTGAACACTGAGAACACATGGACACAGGAAGGGGAACATCACACTCTGGGGACTGTTGTGGGGTGGGGGGAGGGGGGAGGGATAGCATTGGAAGATATACCTAATGCTAGATGACGAGTTAGTGGGTGCTGCGCACCAGCATGTCACATGTATAGATATGTAACTAACCTGCACATTGTGCACATGTACCCTAAAACTTAAAGTATAATAATAATAATAATTAATTAATTAATTAATTAATTAAATTTAATTTAAGAAAGTAAAAAAGGAAATGAGGGAAATATACTACTAAAAACACATAAAACAATAACAATATAACTGGCAATAACAACTTCATTTCTTTAAGCAATCATTTTAAATATAAATTAATTAAACTATTTAATAAAATGAAATGTAATCATAAGACTTTGTAAGGCCAAGGTAGGCTGATCACTTGATCCCAGGAGTTCAAGAGTAGAATGGGCAGTATGGCAAAACTCTGTCTCAACAAAGAATACAAAAAAGGTAGCTGGGTGTGATGGCACATACTTGTAATCCAGCTACTTGAGAGGCTGAAATGAGAGGATCATCTGAGTTTGGGAGGTTCGGGCAGCAGTGAACCCAGCAAATCAACCTGGTTGACAGAGTGAGACCCTATCTCCAAAATACACGAGGCTGGGTGTGGTGGCTCAGGCCTGTAATCCCAACACTTTAAGATGCTGAGGCAGGCCGCCTGGTCTCTACTAAAAATAGAAAAAAATTAGCCAAGCATGGTGGCAGGTTCCTGTAATCCCAGCTACTTGGGAGGCTGAGGCAGGAAAATCGCTTGAACCTGGGAGGCAGAGGTTGCAGTGAGCTGAGATTGCACCATTGCACTTGTCCAGTCTGGGCAACGAGCGAAACTCCATCTGGAATAAAAAAGCAAAGAATTTATAAATAAATACAATTATATGAAGAAAAAATAGAATGCCTGATTGGTTTTTTTATAAAGCAAACAATATGCTCCCTACAAGAGACTCATTTTAGCATTGATTCAAGTAGGCTGAAAGTAATAGAATAAAAAAAAGTATATTCCATGAAAATAGTACCACAATTGAGTGAGGTGGTCATAATTATATTAGACATAATATGCTTTAAGTCAAGTACTGCCATGAGACAATGACTGATATTATATTATGATAAAGTGAGTTGATTTAGCAGGAATCTATAACTATTTATCTATCTGCATATGTGTATATAACATCAGAGCTTTAAAATATATAAAGCAAATATTGACAAAAGTGAAGCAAGACATACATAGCAACATAATAATTGTAGACATCAAGACCCCATTTGCAGTAATAAATACAAAATTAAGGTAAAAATAAGAAACAGAAAACTAAGACATTATAGACTATATTAACTATTTTGCATATAGAGGAATACTTGAGAGTGCATAATTTATAAAGAAAAAAGGTTTATTTGGCTCACAGTTTGGCAGACTGTATAAGTGTGTGCCAGCATCTGCTTCTGGTGAGGATTTCAGGAAGCTTAAAATCATGGTGGAAGGTAAAGAGTAACTGGACATATTATATGATAAGAGACAGAGCAAGTGTGAGGTGAAGGTGCCAGATTATTTTAATGAACCAGTTTTCATTTGAATTAATAGAGTGTAAACTTTTTGGTTACCAAGAGGTTGTACGAAGCCATTCATGAGAAATTTGCCCCCCGTGACAAAAACATGTCCCACCAGTTCCCACAATCAACATTGAGGATTTACATTGCAGCTTGAGGTTTGGAGAACATGGACATCCAAATAATATTATGAATGAACTAGGCTTCACAGACACATACAAAACTCTCCAGTGAAAACCAAGATAATACACAATATTCCTATTTGCACCTGATGCATTCTGTTAGGACACAGCAAGTTTTATTAAATTTAAAAATACTAACTGGGTGAAGTGGCTCTTGCCTATAATCCTAACACTTTGTGATACCAAGGTAAGAGGATCCATTGGTGCCAAATGTTTGAGACTAGCCTGGACAACATTGTGAGATCCTAAAACTACAAACAAGCAAACAATTATCCAGACATGGTAGTGCATGTCTGTAGTCCTAACTACTCAGAAAACTGAAGTGAAAGGATCTCTTGAGCCCAGGAGGCTGAGGCTATAGTGAGCCAAAATTATGCCACTGCACCGCAGCCTGGGATGCAAGATGTTGTCTCAAAACAACAACAAATTACGTTAAGAAGACTAAAATTATACATTGCGTGTTTTCTAACAAAAACTGAATGAAACTAGGAATTAAAAGCAAAAGTCAAACTGGCATATTCAAAACTATGTGAATATGAAACACACTCTTCAACATATTCTTGCTCTGTGTCAAAAAATGTCATTTTTCAAAGATGTCAATCCAACCTACAGTTAAAAGCTACAGAACATAAACAGTGTGATATTGACACAAAGATTAACAGATGAAAGAACAAAATAGAGAGTTCAGAAATGAACCCTTCTATATATGATCAAATGATCTTCCACAACGTTGCCATGAGCACAAAACAGAGAAAAATAATCTCTTCAAAAAATGATGTTGAAAACTGAATATCAAAACTGATAAAAAAGTTGGATTATTTCCTTGAATTAAAATATATTTTAAATAAAATGCTTGGACATAAAAAAACTAACAAATCTTTTAGAAAAACTACAGAAAAAAGACATGACATTGGTCTTGGCATCATTTTCTTAGCTACAAAATTAAATGCATGAGCAGCAAATGAAATAACAGAAAAGTTTAACTACACTAGACTTCAAAATTTCTGCATACCAAAAAACAATTCAAGAGTAACAACATCCCTTAGAAAACGGGTGAAAACATTTGCAAATCACATGTGAAAGAAGTTAATATTCAAAATATATAAACAACTCTTTAAACAATAAAATTGAATAACTTGATTTAGAAATGGACAAAAAATTTTTCATTAGAAAAGTACACAAATGGGAAAAAGCATTTGAAAGGACACAAAAAATTACTAACTTGTAAAGAAATGAAAAAAAAAACAAAAAAAAACCACTGACAAACAAAATCACCTCACACCCATTAGGAGGACCACTACAAATATTTTTAAAAACATCAAATCTGTTGACGATGCAATAAAAGTGAAGCCCATGTTAATTGTTGGTGGAAAACAAAGATGCAGCCATTATTTTAGAAAGTTACAAATGCTCCTCATTTATAAGTCTATATCCAAAATATGTAACAAAGGCCAGGCGCAGTGGATCAAGCCTGTAATCCTAGCAATTTGGGAGTCCAAGGGGGGCAGATCAACTGAGATCAGGAGTTTGAGACCAACCTGATCCCTTCTCTACTAAAAATACAAAAAATTAGCTGGGCATCATGGTGGGAACTTGTAACCCCAGCTACTTGAAAGGCTGAAGCAGAATTGCTTGAAACCAGGAGGCAGAGGTTGCAGTTAGCTGAGATCTCACCACTGTCAACAGCCTAGGCGACAGAGCAAGACTCCATCTGAAAAAAACAAACAAAAAAAAAAGCAACACAGGATATGGGAGGCATATTTGAAAATCCATTTTATTGCAGCAGTATTCACAAAAGCCAAAGGGCCGAAGCAATAACCCAGATGTCTCTTGATTTATAAACATATCAAAAAATGTAACCTATACATACAATAGAATATTATTCCACCTTCAAAAAAATCTTGTTACATTTTAAGATGAACATTGAGAATCTTATGTCACCTGAATTAATCTAGTAACAAAATTATGGATACTGTACCACTTATGTGAGATATCTTAAGTAGTCAAAATCATAAAAACAGAAAATGGAAGGTTTGTCAAAAGCTGGAGAGAGGGTAAAATGAGAAGTTGTTACTTAATGAGTACTGAATTTTTGTTTTGCAAGATGTAAAGTTTCTAGAAGTCTTTTGCATAACAATGTAAATAAACTTAACATGCCTGAAATGAAAAGCTTTTTTTTTTTTTTGAGACAGGGTCACCCGAGCTGGAGTGTAGTGGCACAATTCAATCTCCCATGTAGCTGGGACCACAGCTTCACACCACCATACACGGCTATCATTAATTTTTTCTTTTTATAGAGAGGGGTCTCCCTATGTTTCCCAGGCTGGTCTCAAACTTTTGGGCTCCAGGGATCCCCCTGTCTTGGCCTCCCAAAATCTTGGGATTACAGATGAGAGCCACAACCATGCCTGGCCCTGAAGTATACACATCAATAAATTTAAGATGGTAAATATTATGTTATGTGTTTTTAAAACAATGTTTATAGAGAAAAACTTTAAAAAATCCAGAATTATAAATCTTTTTGGAAATTAACTTCAAATCACAAAAGTGTTTCTCTCACAAAAAGAAATATATATTAATCATTAAACACATGGTGAAAATAAGGCTATCTCCATGACTACTCAGACAAGATAAAATTACCATCGAAAATTAGCTAAGAGAGAATATGAAATAAGCCATAACTAAAATTTGGGTCATATTTATAGGTTAGCACACATACACATGTAATCCAGTTGTGATAGACATGCACAATTTATTTCTTAGATAAAACTCATATTGACTTAAATATACAAATGGAATTGCAAATTGTCTAAAATTATAATACGTAAGTATAACCAATAGACACAATAAACTGATGTTGGGAAACCTACACCGAGGCTGGACTCGGTGGCTCATGACTATAATCCCAGCACTTTGGGAGGCTGAGGCAGGCATATCACGAGGTCAGGAGTTTGAGACCAGCCTGGCCAATAAGGTGAAACACTGTCTCTAATAATAATACAAAAATTAGCTGGGCTTGGTGGCGTGCCTGTAGTCCCAGCTACTCAAGAGGCTGAGGCAGAAGAATGGCTTAAACTTGGAAGGCAGAAGTTGCTGTGAGCTGAGACTGTGCCACTGCACTTTAGCCTGGGTGACGGAGAGAGACTCCCTCTCAAAAAAAAAAAAAAAGTAATAAATAAATCTACACCGGAGAAACTCACTAACATAGAACTTCAAACAATAATAAGAGAAATGTTTGCTCATAAAATCTGGTATACTACATTGATGTATCATCAAACAAAATTTGTCAGGCAGGGTGTAGTGATTCATGCCTATAATCTCAGCACTTTGGGAGGCCAAGGGGGACAGATCACCTGAGGTCAAGAGTTTAAGACCACCCTGGCTAAAGTGGTAAAACCACATCTCTACTAAAAATACAAAAATTAGCTGGGCATGGTGGCACATACCTGTAATACCAGCTACTTGGGAGGCTGAGGCACAAGAATTGCTTGAACCCGGGAGGTGAATGTTGTAGTGAGCCAAGATCACCCGACGGCAATCCAGCCTGGGTGAGAAAGTGTAATTGCTTCTCAAAAAAAAAAACAAAAAAAAACAAAAAAAAACTATGTAACTGCAATATTTAGCTGTTACTATGTACTCATCATATACAAATATTTTAAATCATTGGCATGCATTGTGTGGCAGTAAAATTTCAGAGAATATGCAGTATAATTATAAATAGAAGATTCTAAAGAGAAACAATAAATTAGCATTTTAAAGAAACTAGAGTTGCTTTTTATGTTTTAAATATATGCTATTGTTACACAAAATGAAACTGCTGTAATCCAACTTTAAAAGGAAAGAATAGCCTTACATTGTTAAGTACAGAAAAAGATATATATTTTGCAGAATATGGTTAGGCCCTCTCATATGTGAAACAAATATTAAGAAATAAACTATGTTATTATTTAGATATAGCCTGAAATAAGTAGATGAAAATCCTATAATTCCTTTTTGCCTGTATCAAACTTAAACTTATATGTAAGTGTTTTAGTAAATATGGAGTGCCTATTAATTATCTAATTTACTTGAGGCATACCATGCAAATTCTAGCATATTGTCCTAAATATCTGAATCTAAAATTACAGAAAAATTTGAAATAGAAAATAGAAAGTAAAAATGTATAAGGAGAGTGACATCAGTAAGATAAAAAGATTAAAAGTGCCCTATTTTCATATTCCCTTACAGCAAAAAAAGTCAGCCATCCCTGACAAAAATGCCTTTATGAGAGAACAGGGCATTATTGCTCACATCTATAATGACAGCTTCATGGTACATTAGGTTGGAGAACTGCTTCAGGTGAGGATTTTGAGGCCAGCCTGGGTTATGTAGCAAGATGTCATCTCCCAAATAAGTGCCTCTAAGAGAGATGTGAGATGCAGGGACGCAGTTGTGAAACGATGTTAAAGCTTAAGTTTGAGAAGGATTCTATTCGGAAGGCAGGCCCTCATTCATGTGGGATACTGCAGGACTCCTGTTTTAGCTACAGACCAGGATAGGGTTCACCCAACTTGGTTCCACTGAGAATTCTAAACTTACTCTGTAACCATCCCAAACTCCTTCCAGCCACAGTCTGGCAGAGGTCCTGCTATTCCAGATACCTGGAGGAAGGTGCCCATTTACATCCATGCAGGCAGGCCTGCAGATCTGGGCCTTTACTGGGGTCACTGAGGCAGTTCAATGACTCAGTTTCAGTTACCCGAGCCACTGTTTATGGTCAGTTCTCCCTATATAGAAACCCACACAGTTACCTGAGGAAATGCTCTCTGGTACTCACTGAAAGCCATACTCATCAACATCCTGATACAAGGTCCACCATATGCAGACCGAACTGCAAAAACTTGCCCTAGTGTTTGCCCTATGGAGCAAAGCCCTGAAGGATATTCAGTCTGTCCAAAAATGAAATGGGAATTACAACTACCCAAGCCCCTGTAACAAGCCAACTAAAGGTGAACCCTAGTTCAGACCCAGCAGCCTTGTGACCAAGCTACAACCCCTCTTCACTACAAATTCAGAGGGCATCTCATCACCCTAAGGGCCCAACAAAAGATCTTTACCTTCTGAAATCAGTTTATGAAAATTTAAAGTGGTGTTTGCTCCATCAAATTCAGACACAAATACCAAACTATATTCTGTCCATTGTCAATGCTTCTACTTTAATGTAGCACTGGAAGTATGTGGCAGAAGAATTAGTCAAAGAAATTTTAAAAATCCATTAAAATTGAGGAAAAATAAATAAAAAATTGCTGCTTGTAGATCATATAATCTTATATTTAAAAACCCATAAAGAGTACATTCGAAGCTGTCTAAACTAATACATACACTCAGTAAATTAGCAAAATATAAAACTAACATACAAGCATATGTACGGTTTTATACACTTAAACTATCTGATAAAATAGAGGAAGAAAAAAATCTTATTTACTATAGCATTAAATAATAAATTTCTGAGAAAAAAATTAACCAAGGAAGTAAAAAATCTTTACTAAAAAAATGAAAAAATTAGAAAAGTTATAAATAAATTTTAAAATATTTTATGTCTATGGATTGAAAGTATAAATATTATTAAAGTGCCATATTATTCAAAGTGATCTATAGATTCAATAAACTTCCCATTAAAATTGCAATGGTATCTTTTTGACAGTAATGAAAAATACAATTCTGAAATTTACATGAAACTATAATAAGCTTTGAATTGCCAAAGCAATCTTGATGAAAAGAACAGAGCAGAAGTATAAGCAAAACTTATACTTTTGAAGTCTATTTCAAGATTATATAGTAATAAAAACAGAATGGACTGTGCAGAAGACTGAGCAAGAAAAATTCAACAGAAACTACTACTCTCACACATTTCAGACCTATGCAAAAAGAGAACTTTGAGAATAGTTTTAGTTTCTCAAAAAAAAGCAGATATTTGTGTGTCCCCAAAACACTGGAAAAGAAGCCAGATTATGCAGCCTCTTATATGCTGTGAAGTGGACTTTGGCTCTCACTGTGAACTTGAAGGGAGCTCACTGAAAGAAAAGAAGAATTCTTAAAGAATTTAAAAGCATATGACAGAAGTGTCTCTTTGTGAGAGAAAAATTAAAACAAAAACAAAAACAGCTGCCCAGGACTATTTCCTTTGGAACACAGCTTCCCAAAACACATTTTAAGGACTGGCTTTCTCTTTAACCTTGGGATCTCTTATCTGTGCCATCTGTTGCATTCGTTTTCACTCGCACCCACCTGGGTGTTTGGCAATCATCTCATGTCTCTTCATAGTTTTTTTTCTTACTCCAGACAGGTGATCAGGTCTGGCTTAGAGACAACAATAACTGTTTTATTAAAAATAAATAACATGAATCTTTCTCATATTCTCCAATTACAAGCTAGTAATGTGCTCAGCAGAGAGGATGTAATACAATATTCTGGTAAATTAATACCAAAATACTAAGTTATAACAGAAATTTCTAAATATTTAGAAAATACTTTCAACCTGTAGGTTTCTTTTTCTTTATTTTTTTATTTTTTTTATTTTTTTGAGACCGAGTTTGGCTCTTGTTGCGCAGGCTGAAGTGCAATGGTGCGATCTCGGCTCAGTGAAACCTCTGCCTCCCGGGTTCTACCAATTATCCAGCCTCAGCCTCTGGAGTAGCTGGGATTTCAGGTGTGTGCCACCATGCCTGGCTAATTTTGTATTTTTAGTAGAGATGGAGTTTCTCCATGTTGGTCGGGCTGGTTTGGAACTCCTGACCTCAGGTGATCTTCCTGCCTCAGCCTCACAAAGTGTTGGGATTATAGGCGTGAGCCACTGTGCCAGGTCCTGCACGTAGGTTTTTAAATTTTACTACCTGATACTACTGAATCAAAACTTGGTGCTGGCAGTTAGATTTTCAGGTGGGAGCAACCATATTTTATGCCAAAATTTCAGGAATTACCACAAATTTAGAGTGAAGAATACAGCTCAACTCAGGAATGTGGAAAGTTTGGATTAAGATGAAATATCTTGAAGAAATTCTTTTCTAAATGAAAAAATTCTGAAGATTTTCTGGGAAAAAAGCATTCTGAAACTCTTTGATGCAAAGAATAAATTACTAAAAAACACTCCACAAAAAAGATAAATAAAACCTTCAGGGTATGTTACGAATTATGTATTAAAGTTATCCTCACCAAGAAAGACCAGGTTTCTGTAGTTCTCTAACATCATATCCCTATATAAATTTCACTGTGCAGATCCAGAAATGACACTCCTTCAGAGAGAATTCTATGGCCACATCTCTAAATTGCAATGGCCCCTAAAACACACACACACAAACACACATATTTTTACCAAGTGGCCGTGGGCGGAGTTGTTATTTTGACTTAAGGTGAAATTGGAAAGTAAAGAGAACTGGTTCTTACTTATAGGACTGACTAAAATTATCCAATAAAATAATTTTCAACACAGAAATATGCTCTAATGTATTCTTTAACTCTGAGAAAGAGGAGCAGCGTAAGATCCACAACATCATTACATATATGATATTTTTCTAGGTAACGAAGTATAAAATTAAGGGATTGAATATGAACATGTACATTTTTGAGGGCAACATCAACCTACTGGGCTCAAGTGATTCTCCTGCCTCAGCCTCCCGAATTCTGTTACTACAGGCTTGTACCACCATGCCTGGCTCATTTTTTTTTTTTTTTTTTGAATTTTTAGTACAGATGGGGTTGTACCATGTTAGCCAGGATGGTCTCAATCTCCTGACCTCGTGGTCCACCAGCCTCTCAAAGTATCGGGATTACAGGAGTGTGCCACTGCATCTGGCCACAAGCATTTTCTTAATCCTGCTCTGCATAGAGCTAATGGAACCCACAGATGGAGCCTCAACATTACATGTTTTCCATCTTTACTAAGGACCACAGTTTTTCCCAAGATAAATCTTGAGTATCCACACCTTCTCATGTTCAACAGCCATAAAGGGAACATTTTTAATATTGCATATTGGAAACAATTGCTCAGAGTTTCAGAGTAAACGAGCACTCAAATCGAGAACGTTGAAGCAAGGCAAATTTCCTTCTATAGAAGACTGCGTCTCACAGGTGGAGCAATAGCAAGAGCACAATTGGACAAGAGAGGGGAAGGGGGTCTTATCCTTTAAACCGCTAGTCCCTAGTGATGTGTCTTTCTCCTATTGGCTAGGGTTAGACCGCACAGTCTTAGTTAATTCCAATTAGCTATTTTAAAGAGAGCAAGGGTGGCGAGGTGAGTAGTTTCAGCAGGAAGGATGGTCACAAGGCATTTGACTGGGGGTGACTCAGAATAGAGCAGGTAACTAGGGATGATTCACAGCAGGTGACTAGGGGTGACTCAGAACAGATTAGGTGACTGGGGATGAGTAAGTACCCTAAATATGTGAGTTAGAAGGGGGTTGCTTACTGAAACTAGGGGCAAGGAGACATAAAGATTGAGGAATTTAAACATTAAAATGGAGAACAAAGAACAGGGAAGCTGATAATACTGAAATATTGGTTCTTTGAAGAGGACTTCAGAACTCATTGTACTTAACGATTTTCCTCTCTTGGATTTTAAAGGAAGTTAAGCTGAAACCTTTAAAGAGATATTTACTGTATCCTACATTTCAGATCATAAATTCTTGCTGAGAATTCTGCATGGCATATAAGAAGCTACGACATAGAAAATGTAGAGAAAGTTCTGGAATATAGGAAATAAATATTTTTCAGAGACCCTTGACTATCATAAGTATTTTAAGAAGAACTCAAACTGAGAATAGGGGGTGGAGCCAAGATGGCCGAATAGGAACAGCTCCAGTCTACAGATCCCAGCATGAGCGACGCAGAAGACGGATTTCTGTATTTCCAACTGAGGTACCGGGTTCATCTCACAGGGGAGTGCTGGACAGTGGGTGCAGGACAGTGGGTGCAGCACACACTGTGTGAGCCAAAGCAGGGCGAGGCATCGCCTCACCCAGGAAGCGCAAGGGGTCAGGGAATTCCCTTTCCTAGTCAAAGAAAGGGGTGACAGATGGCACCTGGAACATTGGGTCACTCCCACCCTAATACTGTGCTTTTCCAATGGGCTTCACAAACGGCACGCCAGGAGATTATATCCCACACCTGGCTTGGAGGGCCCTACACCCACGGAGCCTCACTCATTGCTAGCACAGCAGTCTGAGATCAAACTGTAAGGCGGCAGTGAGGCTGGGGGAGGGGTGCCCGCCATTGCTCAGGCTTGAGTAGGTAAACAAAGCAGCCTGGAAGCTCGAACTGGGTGGAGCCCACCACAGCTCAAGGAGGCCTGCCTACCTCTGTAGGCTCAACCTCTGGGGGCAGGGCACAGACAAACAAAAGACAGCAATAACTTCTGCAGACTTAAATGTCCCTGTGTCACAGCTTTGAGGAGAGTAGTGGTTCTCCCAGCACACAGCTTGAGATCTGAGAATGGGCAAACTGCCTCCTCAAGTGGGTCCCTGACCCCTGAGTAGCCTAACTGGGAGGCACCCCCCAGTAGAGGCGGACTGACACCTCACATGGCCGGGTACTCCTCTGAGACAAAACTTCCAGAGGAACGATCAGGCAGCAGCATTTGTGGTTCACCAATATCCACTGTTGTGCAGCCACCGCTGCTGACACCCAGCCAAACAGGGTCTGGAGTGGACCTCCAGTAAACTCCAACAGACCTGCATCTGAGGGTCCTGACTGTTAGAAGGAAAACTAACAAACAGAAAGGACATCCACATCAAAAACCCATCGGTACGTCACCATCATCAAAGACCAAAGGTAGATAAAAACACAAAGATGGGGAGAAAACAGAGCAGAAAAAATGGAAACTCTAAATATCAGAGCACCTCTCCTCCTCCAAAGGAACACAGCTCCTAACCAGCAACAGAACAAAGCTGGATGGAGAATGACTTTGACTAAATGGGAGAGGAAGGCTTCAGAAGATCAAACCACTCCAAGCTAAAGGGGGAAGTTTGAACCCATGGCAAAGAAGTTAAGAACTTTGAAAAAAAATTAGATGAATGGATAACTGGAATAATCAATGCAGAGAAGTCCTTAAAGGACCTGATGAAGCTGAAAACCATAGCATGAGAACTACGTGACGAAGGCACAAGCCTCATTAACCAATGCAATCAACTGGAAGAAAGGGTATCAGTGATGGAAGATGAAATGAATGAAATGAAGCATGAAGAGAAGTTAAGAGAAAAAAGAATAAAAAGAAATGAACAAAGACTACAAGAAATATGGGACTATGTGAAAAGATCAAATCTACATCTGATTGGTGTACCTGAAAGTGATGGGGAGAATGGAAACAAGTTGGAAAGCACTCTGCAGGATATTATTCAGGAGAACTTCCCCAACCTAGCAAGGCAGGCCGACATTCAGATTCAGGAAATACAGAGAACACCATAAAGACACTCCTTGAGAAGAGCAACTCCAAAACACATAACTGTCAGATTCACCAAAGTTGAAATGAAGGAAAAAATGTTAAGAGCAGCCAGAGAGAAAGGTCAGGTTACCCACAAAGGGAAACCCATCAGACTAACAGCTGATCTCTTGGCAGAAACTCTACAAGCCAGAAGAGAGTGGGGGCCAATGTTCAACATTCTTAAAGAAAAGAATTTTCAACCCAGAATTTCATATCCAGCCAAATTAACCTTCATAAGTGAAGGAGAAATAAAATACTTTACAGACAAGCAAATGCTGAGAGATTTTGTCACCACCAGGCCTGCCCTAAAAGATCTCCTGAAAGAAACACTAAACATGGAAAGGAACAACTGGTACCAGCCAATGCAAAAACATGCCAAATTGTAAAGACCATCAAGACTGGGAAGAAACTGCATCAACTAATGAGCAAAATAACCAGCTAACATCATAATGACAGGATAAAATTCACACATAACAATACTAACCTTAAATGTAAATGGGCTAAATACTCCATTTAAAAGGCACACACTGGCAAATTGGATAAAAAGTCAAGACCCATCAGTGTGCTGTATTCAGGAAACCCATCTCACGTGCAGAGACACACATAGACTCAAAATAAAGGGATGTAGGAAGATCTACCAAGCAAATGGACAGCAAAAAAAGGCGGGGGTTGCAATCCTAGTTTCGGATAAAACAGACTTAAAACCAACAAAGATCAAAAGAGACAAAGAAAGCCATTACATAATGGTAAAGGGATCAATTCAACAAGAAGAGCTAACTATCCTAAATATATATGCACCCAATACAGGAGCACCCAGATTCATAAAGCAAAGTCCTTAGTGACCTATAAAGAGACTTAGACTCCCAGAAAATAATAATGGGAGACTTTAACACCCCACTGTCAACATTAGGCAGATCAATGAGACAGAAAGTTAACAAGGATATCCAGGAATTCAACTCAGCTCTGCACCAAGTGGACCTAATAGACATCTACAGAACTCTCCACCCCACATCAATAGAATACACATTCTTTTCAGCATCACACCACACCTATTCCAAAATTGATCATATAGTTGGAAGTAAAGCACTCCTCAGCAATGTAAAAGAACAGAAATTATAACAAACTGTCTCTCAGACCACAGTGCAATCAAACTAGAACTCAGGATTAAGAAACTCACTCAAAACTGCAAAACTACATGGAAACTGAACAACCTGTTCCTGAATGACTACTGGGTAAATAACGAAATGAAGGCAGAAATAAAGATGTTCTTTGAAACCAATGAGAACAAAGACATAACATACTAGAATCTCTGGGACACATTCAAAGCAGTGTGTAGAGGGAAATTTATAGCACTAAATGCCCACAAGAGAAAGCAGGAAAGATCTAAAATTGACACCCTAACATCACAATTAAAAGAACTAGAGAAGCAAGAGCAAACACTTTCAAAAGCTATCAGAAGGCAAGAAATATCTAAGATCAGAGCAGAACTGAAGGAAATAGAGACACAAAAACCCCTTCAAAAAATTAATGAATCCAGGAGCTGGTTTTTTGAAAAGATCAACAAAAGTGATAGACCACTAGCACGACCAATAAAGAAGAAAAGAGAGAAAAATCAAATAGATGAAATAAAAAATGATAAAGGGGATATCACCACTGATCCCACAGAAATACAAACCACCATCAGAGAATACCATAAACACCTCTAAGCAAATAAACTAGAAAATCTAGAAGAAATGGATAAATTCCTCAACACATACACTCTCCCAAGACTAAACCAAGAAGAAGTTGAATCTCTGAATAGACCAATAACAGGCTCTGAAATTGAGGCAATAATTAACAGCTTACCAACCAAAAAATTCCAGGACCAGATGGATTCACAGCCGAATTCTATGAGAGGTACAAGGAGAAGCTGATACCATTCCATCTAAAATTATTCTAATCAGTAGAAAAAGAGGGAATCCTCCCTAACTCATTTTGTGAGGCCAGCATCATCCTGATACCAAAGCCTAGCAGAGACACAACAAAGAAAGAGAATTTTAGACCAATATCCTTGATGAACATTGATGCAAAAATCCTCAATAAAATACTGGCAAACCAAATCCAGCAACACATCAAAAAGCTTATCCACCATGATCAAGTGGGCTTCATCCCTGGGATGCAAGGCTGGTTCAACATATGGAAATCAATAAATGTAATCTAGCACATAAACAGAACCAAAGACAAAAACCACATGATTATCTCAATAGATGCAGAAAAGGCCTTCAACAAAATTCAACAACATTTCATACTAAAAACTCTCAATAAATTAGGTATTGATGGGTCCTATCTCAAAATAATAAGAGTTATCTATGACAAACCCACAGCCAATATCATACTGAATGGGCAAAAACTGGAAGCATTCCCTTTGAAAACTGGCACAAGACAGGGATGCCCTCTCTCACCACTCCTACTCAACATAGTGTTGGAAGTTCTGGCCAGGGCAATGAGGCAGGAGAAGGGAATAAAGGGTATTCAATTAGGAAAAGAGGAAGTCAAATTGTCCCTGTTTGCAGATGACATGATTGTATATCTAGAAAACCCCATCGTCTCAGCCCAAAATCTCCTTAAGCTGATAAGCAACTTCAGCGAAGTCTCAGGATACAAAATCAATGTGCAAAAATCACAAGCATTTTTATACACCAATAACAGACAAACAGCCAAATCATGAGTGAACTCCCATTCACAATTGCTTCAAAGAGAGTAAAATACCTAGGAATCCAACTTACAAGGGATGTGAAGGACCTCTTCAAGGAGAACTACAAACCACTGCTCAATGAAATAAAAGAGGATACAAACAAATGGAAGAACATTCCATGCTCATGGGTGGGAAGAATCAATATCATGAAAATGGCCATACTGCCCAAGGTAATTTATAGATTCAATGCCATCCCCATCAAGCTACCAATGACTTTCTTCACAGAATTGGAAAAAACTACTTTAAAGTTCATATGGAACCAAAAAAGAGCCCGCATCACCAAGTCAATCCTAAGCCAAAAGAACAAAGCTGGAGGCATCACCCTACCTGACTTCTAACTATACTACAAGGCTACAGTAATCAAAACAGCATTGTACTGGTACCAAAACAGAGATATAAACCAATGGAACAGAACAGAGCTCTCAGAAATAATGCCACATATCTACAACTATCTGATCTTTGACAAACCTGACAAAAACAAGCAATGGGGAAAGGATTCCCTATTTAATAAATGGTGCTGGGAAAACTGGCTAGCCTTATGTAGAAAGATGAAACTGGATCCCTTACTTACACCTTATACAAAAATTAATTCAAGATGGATTAAAGACTTCCATGTTAGAACTAAAACCATGAAAACCCTAGAAGAAAACCTAGGCAATACCATTCAAGACATAGGCATGTGCAGGGACTTCATGTCTAAAACACCAAAAGCAATGGCAACAAAAGACAAAATTGACAAATGGGATCTAATTAAACTCAAGAGCTTCTGCACAGCAAAAGAAACTACCGTCAGAGTGAACAGGCAACCTACAGAATGGGAGAAAATTTTCGCAACCTACTCATCTGACAAAGGGCTAATATCCAAAATCTACAATGAACTCAAGCAAATTTACAAGAAAAAAAACAAACAACCCCATCAAAAAGTGGGTGAAGGATATGAACAAACACTTCTCAAAAGAAGTTATTTATGCAGCCAAAGAACATGAAAAAATGCTCGTCATCACTGGCCATCAGAGAAATGCAAATCAAAACCACAATGAGATACCATCACACACCAGTTAGAATGGCGATCATTAAAAAGTCAGGAAACAACAGGAGTTGGAGAGGATGTGGAGAAACAAGGAACACTTTTACACTGGTGGTGGGACTGTAAACTAGTTCAACCATTGTGGAAGTCAGTGTGGCGATTCCTCAGGGATCTAGAACTAGAAATACCATTTGACCCAGCAATCCCATTACTGGGTATATACCCAAAGGACTATAAATCATGCTGCTATAAAGACACATGCACACATATGTTTATTGCAGCACTATTCACAATAGCAAAGACTTGGAACCAAGCCAAATGTCCAACAATGATAGACTGGATTAAGAAAATGTGGCACATATACACCATGGAATACTATGCAGCCATAAAAAATGATGAGTTCATGTCCTTTGTAGGGACATGGATGAAGTTGGAAACCATCATTCTCAGCAAACTATCGCAAGGACAAAAAAACAAACACCACATGTTCTCACTCATAGATGGGAATTTAACAATGAGAACACATGGACATAGGAAGGGGAACGTCACACACCGGGGCCTATTGTGTGGTGGGGGTAGGGGGTAAGGATGGCATTAGGAGATATACCTAATGCTAAATGATGAGTTAATGGGTGCAGTGCACCAGCATGTCACATGTATACATATGTAACAAACATGCACGTTGTGCACATGTACCCTAAAACTTAAAGTATAACAAAAAAAAAAAAAAGAAGCACTTAAACTAAACTCATTAGGGAGGAAAAACACAAGTAGAGAAGTAAAGGTTTGTGAATACCAAACGCATGGCAGTCCAGGAGGCAGAGTGGACACTGCTCTTGATGTGAGACATGTTTACCTGAAGAAAAGCCATTTTTTCTCTTTCTTCTCCTTCTCTGGAGTTCCTTCTCAGATGAGACTCTCTGAACAAATTACACCTGCATCTTGAGAATATGCCTTTAAGGATGTCAGTGCCACATATTTACCTGCTAGCATGACAACAACTGGCAGAAAAAGAAAAAGTCCAGCCATTTCTTTCCTTTAAAACAGAAGAGATTCAGGAACAATGTGCTGCTCCATGAAGATAATAGTATGTTTCTCCTTTCCTTTCCTCAGGTGCCATCACCTGCCACAGACACCAGCAATTTCTTCTACAGTAATGCAGATATATGCCACACTGACCTGTCCCTACCAAATCCAAACAGAACAGGCCTTGTAAACACCCTTTAGTGCAAAAGTGGAACTTAATTCTCATGACTGTATTTTGAAGTGTTCATACTTGATTCTGGCCTCACCTTAGAGTCACATGAGGCCCTTAATTAAAACAACCTGAATGCTTCCACCCAGAACAATAAACAGAAGCTGTGGGGAGGGCACAAGATATTTCTGCAAATTGGCCATGTTGTCCTAGTGACAAGCCTGGGCTGATAACCACTAAGCTAAGCATTTTCTCTCAAGCTTTAACGAGCTTATAAATCACTTGGTAAATTTGACCCCACTTTATGTAATGTGATTCTGCAGGTTTGAAAAAGGTCCATAAATAGGTGTTTTAAACAAGTTTCCTGTCAATGCTGATGTTGCTCCCCCTTGGCTCATTATTAGCATTAGTTAGAGAAAGCAGGCACAGCACAGGGTTCCTTACACTCTGAACTCTTGTAACAACCAAATACTTCTGGTACAAATAAGGACAACCCATCTGCATCCTAAAGACATATTATTTGCTGGCTCTTTAAAGTTGACAGAGAAAATAGGAGGCAGCAATATCTCAATACGTTTGGATTTAAAAACAACATGTACACCTGTACTAATGCAATGTTTATTAAGCAGGTACTATGAGCTCAAGAGTAGGATACAGAGCACTGTGCTGGGCATAACACATTATGTGATTTAATTCTGATAACACCCTGGGAGCTGGTACTAAGGGTTTAATAATTTCCAGGATTTAGATAAAGGGCCCAGCATTTTTATTTCTTCTTGTTTCTCTGTCATCAAAACTTTTAAAAATTGTAAAGAATAAAAGCTAAATATAGACAGATGAGAGAAATATAGAAAGGAAGAGTTGAATGTAGTGTACAGAAAATTTTATTCTGTTTATGTTTACTTTTTTTATGACTTGTGTAGCAACGACTGGGTCTGTAGGAATAGAAAACAAGTTACTAAATAGAATGTCTCTGCAAGCACTGGTTTTAATAGAAAATTTAAAAACTAATACCCGACAATACATAATTTATTTTTCCTATTTATCTGCTTTTGGGTTTCAGAAATTTGTGAGCACCAGGTCTAGAAATGCAACCAGGATTCCCCAGCCAAACTCTGATCCCTTCTAATCAGTTCTGTGAGGCAAGACTTCAGGGTAGGTTCAGACCTAAATAAGGCCTCCAAAAAGGGTTAATCTGAACAGGTCTGTGACAGGAGGACGACCCTATGTAGAATTCTGTTCTCTATGGCACTACAGGACTTCCAGTTTTGTTTTTTCTAAGCTTACCTAAAAGAAACTTAAATCCCAGAGTTTCTGTAATTTTAGACTCTTCTAGCCACTATCCTGTCAACTTTATACTATATACTAATATGCAATTACATAAATCCCTTAAAGTTTTCTAGGGTAATTTTTTTTGGCGGGGGGTATGGAGTCTTGTTCTGTCACCCATGCTGCAGTGCAGTGGCATGATCTTGGCTCACTGCAACCTCTGCCTCCCTGGTTCAGGCGATTCTTTTGCCTCAGCCTCCTGAGTAGCTCGGATTACAGGCATGCACCACCATGCCTGGCCAATTTTTGTATTATTACAAAACCATATATTTGCCAAGCTGGTCTTGAACTCCTGACCTCGTGATCCACCCATCTCAGCCTCCCAAAGTGCTGGATTACAGGCATGAGCCACTGCGCCCAGCTTTCTAGGGTAATTTTATTAGAAAATAAATATGTACACGTAGCAAGGTAAAAGAAATAAAAATTATACAGCTGGGCACAAAGGCTCATGCCTGCAATTCCAGCACTTTGAGAGGCCAAGGCAGTTGGATCGTGATGTCAAGAGTTCAAGACCAGCTTCACCAAGATGGTGAAACACGATGTCGACTAAAAATACAAAAATCAGCCGGGTTCAGTGGGAGCCACCTACAATCCCAGCTACTCGGGAGACTGAGGCAGGAGAATCACTTGAACCCAGGAGACAGAGATTGCAGTGAGCCGAGTTTCTGCTACTGCACTCTAGTTTGGGTGATAGAGTGAGACTATCTCTCTCTCTCTCTCTCTCTCTCTCTCTCTCTCTCTCTCTATATATATATATATATATATATATATACACATACATACACACACATATATATTTAATAACAATTCTGTTCATGAATATCCCTACAGGTGTAGCCAACAGAAGTCACAGCAATATAAAGAAAGTGGCCTAAATAAAGCCCAAGATTTTGGACACATCTCTTTGTTGGACCAACCATATGATGCTTAATTTAATTATTTACCCAGTTGCTAGTCTAGATTAAAAGTTTCTGGATTGTAGGAACCATGACTTCTTCATTTTTTTTTAATGACTATATGAAATGGAAGCAACTAGTTTATCTATTTGGGTCTCCAGATCTTTTCCTTGTTTATTATCCAAGTACCAGGAAACTGGAGAAACTGTCATCTGTGTATCAACCAAAGACACCTCTTGTATGAGGGGATGAACAAACACAGGATGACTCACTTCTCTTACACTGAGACAGAAGCAGAATTAACCACTCTTGTCAGCCTGAAACAATTCTACTCTGGCCATCCTGAAATGCCTCAAACACACCTAGGTGATTGTGAGAGAATTCCCAGTGACCCAGGGCTGATGGCCCAATAATAAGCCAGGCTGGAGAGACTCAGGCTGATTCTAAATAAAAAATGGAACTGCCTGGCTGAGTGCGGTGGCTTCTGCCTGTAATCCCAGAACTTTGGGAGGCCAAGGTGGGTAGATCACTTGAGGTAAGAAGCTTGAGACCAGCCTGACTAACAGGGAGAAACTCCATCTCTACTAAAAATACAAAATTAGCCAGGCGTGGTAGCACATGCCTGTAATCTCAGCTACTCGGGAGGCTGAGGCAGGAGAATCAGTTGAACCCAGGAAGTGGAGGTTGCAGTGAGCCGAGATTGGGCCATTGCATTCCAGCCTGGGGAAGAAGACTGAAACTCTGTCTAAAAAAAAAAAGAAAAAAGGAAAATGAAACTGCCTTGGTTGAGCTCCAGAACCTGGATCACCTGTCCTGGTTTGCTAGCTCTTGTGTAAGGGAAAGAACAAAAATACTCTACTCCAGTAACACATTTTACAGGTAAATATAGTTGTGGCCATGGCTCTGCATATGTTGTAGCCTGATAATGGGAATGGGAGCAGTGTTTCAGCCCCAGCTTCTACTTATAATGGTGACATGGAAAAAATACTGCTGAGTTTCCAGCATGAGTCCAGATAGAGATAGCTCCAAAAGTTCTCACTGTGACAGCCCACCTCATTCAGGCACCATGGGATACTAATAGGGCTTCTGAAACAGACAAAGCACTGGAGAGAAAAACAGATCTCCATCTGAGCAAGATTATTTTGAAAGAAGAAAGTTAAAAAGATCTTAAGAAAAAGCTTAGATTAGATATAAGATTGATTATGTCAGCCAGAAAATATTCCCCTAAAAGAAATTTCTCTCTAAACACCCAATGTACATAGCATGAGAAACATATGAGCATTATGAAAAAATGGGGCATATTTTCAGAGGAATTTTATAAAAGTTTCTTTTCCATCTCTGCTGCTCTCTCATGTCATAGCCATTGAATGGGGGTTCTATATTGAAATACATCTGACAACTTAACACTTTTTGATGAATAAATAGAATCTGACTGTGTTCATATAGTGGAATACATTAGAAATTGCAACATAGCTAACTGAATAGTTATTATGGTGTTTGGGTGGCCACATCACCTGTCTTTATTTATCCTGTAATAGCAGCATTCCAATTTAGTGAAATAAAAGATACTAAAATTGTGTTTAGTCGTAATTATTCCTATTGAATAAAGTAATAAACATGTCAGACTGATATCTACTGTAACAATTTGGTAGTACATTTTCTTTTGATATTAGATATAAATAAGTATGAATAATTTTAATGAACTAGTCATAATGTATGTAGCATTTTTAAAAATTGTAACTATAGTTAGTTTAAAACACTTTATATTTCAAAAGGGTAATTAACAATATTAAAATAACCATTTAAGTGATTCAAAGTAATTATTGTGGCTTCATATTCATACTATTGTAGAAAATACTGTTTATGGCTCACACCTGTAATCCCAGCACTTTAGGAGGCTGAGGGTGGGTGGATCACCCAAGGTCAGGAGTTCAAGATCAAGCTGGACAACATGGTGAGACCCCATCTCTACTAAAAATACAAAAACTTAGCCAAGCGTGGTGATGCAAGCCTGTATTCCCAGCTACTCAGGAGGCTGAGGCAGGAGAATTGCTTGAACCCAGAAGCAGTGGTTGCAGTCAGCTGAGATCACAAAACTGCACTCCAGCCTGTGCAAGAGAGTGAGACTGTCTCAAAAAGGGGGAAAATACTGTTTAATTTATATGAATGCAGGTTGTCTACAAACACTACACATAACTATGCTAATTGTTCTGAAGTAATAAATACAAAGCAAGATAAAACTACAGACTCCACTGTTCAGTTTATGCACTGAACTGTTCTTCCTTTTGCTGTATAGGTACTTCAGCCTGCAAATATTAGATAATCACCTTGTGGAAAAGGTGACATAGAGGTTCCTCTTCAAAGACTTTCCTCCCTATCTAATTAGGAATAAATAGTAACTTCTCTTAGAAGCAAAATTTATTTGATGGGTCCATTCCAAGATGGCCAAATAGGAACAGCTCCGGTCTGCAGCTCCCAGTGTGATCGATGCAGAAGATGGGTGATTTCTGCATTTCCAACTGAGCAAATGGAACACCAAGAGATTATATCCCATGCTTGGCTCAGCGGGTCCCATGCCCATAGAGCCTTGCTCACTGCTTGTCCAAGATCAAACTGCAAGGTGGCAAGCATGGCTGGGGGAGTAGTGTCTGCCATTGCTGATGCTTAAGTACATAAACAAAGCAGCCTGGAAGCTCAAACTGGTTGGAGCCCACCACGGGACACTGAGGCCAACCTGCCTATGTAGACTCCACCTCTGGGGGCAGGGCATAGCTGAACAAAAGGGAGCAGAAATTTCTGCAGACTTAAACGTCTCTGTCTGACAGCTCTGAAGAGAGCAGTGGTTCTCCCAGCACAGTGTTTGAGATCTCAGAATGGATAGAATGCCTCAAGTGGGTCCCTGACCCCTATGTAGCCTAACTTGGAGACAGCTCCCAGTAGGGGCTGACTGACACCTCATACAGCCGGGTGCCCCTCTGAGATGAAGCTTCCAGAGGAAGGATTAGACAGCAATATTTGCTGTTCTGAAATATTTGCTGTTCGGCAGCCTCTGCTGGTGATACCCAGGCAAACAGGATCTGGAGCGGACCTCCAGAAAACTCCAACAGACCTGCAGCTGAGGGACTTGACTGTTAGAAGGAAAACTAACAAACAGAAAGGAATGGCATCAACATCAACTAAAAGGACATCCACACCAAAACCCCATCTGTGGGTCACCATCATCAAAGACAAAGGTAGATAAAACCACAAAGATGGGGAGAAAGCAGAGTAGAACAGCTGAAAATTCTAAAAACCAGAGCATCCCTTCTCCTCCAAAGGATCAAAGCTCCTCACTAGCAATGGAACAAAGCAGGATGGAAAATGACTTTGACAAGCTGACGGAAGTAGGCTTCAGAAAGTCAGTAATAACAAACTTCTCCGAGCTAAAGAAGGACGTTTGAATCCATCACAAGGAAGCTAAAAACCTTGAAAAACGATTAGATGAATGGCTAATTAGAATAAACAGTGTAGAGAAGACCTTAAATGACCCCATGGAGCTGAAAACCATGGCAAAAGAACTACATGACACATGCACAAGCTTCAGTAGCTGAATCGATCAAGTGGAAGAAAGGGTATCTGTGATTGAAGATCAAATGAATGACATGAAATGAGAAGAGAAGTTTAGAGAAAAAAGAATAAAAAGAAATGAACAAAGCCTCCAAGAAATATGGGACTATGTGAAAAGACCAAATCTACATTTGATTTGTGTACCTGAAAGTGAGAGGGAGAATGGAACCAAGCTGAACAACACTCTTCAGGATATTATCCAGGAAAACTTCCCCAATCTAGCAAGGCAGGCCAACATTCAAATTCAGGAAATACAGAGAACACCACAAAGATACTGCTCAAGAAGAGCAACCTGAAGACACATCATTGGCAGATTCACCAAAGTTGAAATGAAAGAAAAAAAGTTAAGGGCAGCCAGAGAAAAAGGTCGGGTTACCCACAAAGGGAAACCCATCAGACTAACAGCTGATCTCTTGGCAGAAACTCTACAAGCCAGAAGAGAGCAGAGGCCAATATTCAACATTCTTAAAGAAAAGAATTTTCAAACCAGAATTTCATATCCAGCCAGACTAAGATTCATAAGTGAAGGAGAAATAAAATACTTTACAGACAAGCAAATGCTGAGAGATTTTTTCACCACCAGGCCTGCCCTAAAAGAGCTCCTGAAGGAAGCACTAAACATGGAAAGGAACAACTGGTACCAGCCACTGCAAAAACATGCCAAATTGTAAAGACCATCAAGGCTAGGAAGAAACTGCATCAACTAATGAGCAAAATAACCAGCTAACATCATAATGACAGGATAAAATTCACACATAACAATACTAACCTTAAATGTAAATGGGCTAAATGCTCCATTTAAAAGGCACAGACTGGCAAATTGGATAAAGAGTCAAGACCCATCAGTGTGCTGTATTCAGGATACCAGTCTCATGTGCCAAGACACATATAAGCTCAAAATAAAGGGATGGAGGGAGATCTACCAAGAAAATAGAAAGCAAAAAACAGCAGGGCTAGCAATCCTAGTCTCTGATGAAACATACTTTAAACCAGCAAAGATCAAAAGAGACAAAGAAGGTCATTACATAATGGTAAAAGGATCAATTCAACAAGAAGAGCTAACTATCCCAAATATATATGAACCCAATACAGGAGCACCCTGATTCATAAAGCAAATCCTGAGAGACCTACAAAGAGACAGACTCCCACAAAATAATAATGGGGGATTTTAACACTCCACTGTCAATATTAGACAGATCAATGAGACAGAAGGTTAATAAGGATATCCAGGACTCCAACTCAGCTCTGCACCAAGTGGACCTAATAGACATCTACAGAACTCTCCACCCCAAATCAAAAGAATATACATTCTTCTTCTCAGTACCACATCACACTTATTCCAAAATTGATCACATAATTGGTAGTAAAACACTCCTCAGCAAATGTAAAAAAAAGAAATCACAACAAACTGTCTCTCAGACCACAGTGCAATCAAATTAGAACTCAGGATTAAGAAACTCACTCAAAACCGCACAACTACATGAAAACTGAACAACCTGCTCCTGAATGACTACTGGGTAAATAACGAAATGAAGGCAGAAATAAAGATGTTCTTTGAAACCAATGAGCACAAAGACACAATGTATCAGAATCTCTGGGACACATTCAAAGCAGTGTGTAGAGGGAAATGTATAGCACTAAATGCCCACAAGTGAAAGCAGGAAAGATCTAAAATTGAAACCCTAACATCACAATTAAAGGAACTAGAGAAGCCAGAGTAAACAAATTCAAAAGCTAGCAGAAGACAAGAAATAACTAGGATCAGAGCAGAACTGAAGGAGATAGAGACACAAAAAAAACCCTTCAAAAAAATCAATGAATCCAGGAGTTGGTTTTTTGAAAAGATCAACAAAAGTGATAGACCACTAGCAAGACTAATAAAGAAGAAAAGAGAGAAGAATCAAATAGATGCAATAAAAAATGATAAAGGGGATATCACCACCCATCTCACAGAAATACAAACTACGATCAGAGAATACTATAAACACCTCTATGCAAATAAACTAGAAAATCTAGAATGGATAAATTCCTCAACACATACACTCTCCCAAAACTAAACCAGGAAGAAGTTGAATCTCTGAATAGACCAATAACAGGCTCTGAAATTGAGGCAATAATTAATAGCCTACCAACCAAAAAAAGCCCAGGACCAGGCAGATTCAGAGCTGAATTCTACCAGAGGTACATACAGGAGTTGGTACCATTCCTTCTGAAACTATTCCAATCAATAGAAAAAGAGGGAATCCTCCCTAACTCGTTTTATGACAAGAGCATCATCCTGATACCAAAGCCTGGCAGAGACACAACAAAAAAGAATTTTAGACCAATATCCCTGATGAACATCAATGCAAAAATCCTCAATAAAATACTGGCAAACCGAATCCAGCAGCACATCAAAAAGCTTATCCACCATGATCAAGTTGGCTTCATCCCTGGGATGCAAGGCTGGTTCAACATATCCAAATCAATAAACATAACCCATCACATAAATAGAACCAAAGACAAAAACCCCATGATTATCTCAATAGATGCAGAAAAGGCCTTTGGCAAAATTCAACAGCACTTCATGCTAAAAACTCTCAATAAACTAGATATTGATGGAATGTATCTCAAAATAATAAGAGCTATTTATGACAAGCCCACAGCCAGTATCATACTGAGTGGGCAAAAACTGGAAACATTCCCTTTGAAAACTGGCACAAGACAGGTATGCCCTCTCTCACCTCTCCTATTCAACATAGTGTTGGAAGTTCTGGCCAGGGCAATCAGGCAAGAGAAAGAAATAAAAGGTATTCAATCAGAAAAAGAGGAAGTCAAAATTGTCCCTGTTTGGCTGGGCATAGTGGCTCACACCTGTAATCCCAACACTTTGGGACGCCGAGGTGGGTGGATCACAAGGTCAGGAGATCGAGACCATTCTGGCTAACATGGTGAAACCCTATCTCTACTAAAAATACAAAAAAACTAGCCAGGCGTGGTGGCAGGTGCCTGTAGTCTCAGCTACTCAGGAGGCTGAGGCAGGAGAATGGCGTGAACCTGGGAGGCAGGCTTGCAGTGAGCCAAGATTTTGCCACTGCACTCCAGCCTGGGCAATAGAGACTGCGTCTCAAAAAAAAAAAAAAAAAATTGTCCCTGTTTGCAGACAACATGATTGTATATTTAGAAAACCCATCGCCTCAGCCCAAAATGTCCTTAAGCTGATAAGCAACTTCAGCAAAGTCTCAGGATACAAAATCAATGTGCAAAAATCACAAGCATTCTTATACACTAATAACAGAAAAACATGGGTGAACTCCCATTCACAGCTGCTACAAAGAGGATAAAATACCTAGGAATCCAACTTATAAGGGATATGAAGGACTCTTCAAGGAGAACTACAAACCACCGCTCAAAGAAATAAAAGAGGACACTAACAAATGGAAGCACATTCCATGCTCATGGATAGGAAGTATCGATATATGGTCATCAGAGAAATGCAAATCAAAACCACAATGAGATACCATCTCACACAATTTAGAATGGTGATCATTAAAAAGTCAGGAAACAACAGGTGCTGGAGAGGATGTGGAGAAATAGGAACGCTATTACACTATTGGTGGGAGTGTAAACTAGTTCAACCATTGTGGAAGACAGTGTGGCAATTCCTCAAGGATCCAGAACTAGAAATACCATTTGACCCAGCAACCCCATTACTGGGTATATACCCAAGGGATTATGAATCATGCTACTATAAAGACACATGCACATGTATGTTTATTGTGGCACTATTCGCAATAGCAAAGACTTGGAACCAAGCCAAATGTCCATCAATGATAGACTGAATTAAGAAAATGTGGCACATATACACCATGGAATACTATGCAGCCATAAATAATGATGAGTTCATGTCCTTTGTAGGGACATGGATGAAGCTGGAAACCATCATTCTCAGCAAACTATCGCAAGGACAGAACACCAAACATTGCATGTTCTCACTCATAAGTGGGAATTGAACAATGAGAACACTTGGACACTGGGGGGGAAACATCACACACCGGGGCCTGTTGTAGGGTGGGGGGATGGAGGAGGGATAGCATTAGGAGAAATACCTAATGTAAATGACAAGTTAATGGGTGCAGCAAACCAACACGGCACATGTATACATATGTAACAAACCTGCACATTGTGCACATGTACCCTAGAACTAAAGTATAATACTAAAAAAAGCAAAATTTATTCAAAAACCTGTGCTAACGTTCTCAAATATCTGATAGATGTAATAAAGAAATCAATACACTTTACGTTCTTAACTCCCACAATTTAGCTAAATATTTCCTGGACATGCTTATACTGGTCCAAGCAAGCATTAGGCCATAGCCTGTTCTTTTTCCTTATTTGAAGGTGTTTTTACCTTTCTCAGCATTCCACAAGTTACTTCCTCCTTCCTTTGTTCTCATCTGCCTTTGCCTCTTTTAAAAAGTTCTAAGTTGCTAGCCAATTGGGACAAATACAGAATGTGAGATCCTGTTCCAGCCTTTGGAAACTGGACACAGCAGTAGGGTGGATGCTTCAGGTTATAAACAACCCTGTCTCCTTGGTTCAGTGTACTCTCATGACAAAACTATTAATGAGTGTACCCTTTCTGCAGAAAGTAAAAATGGCCTTGCTGATAAAATTAAACTTATGTTCTAGTGCTATTTCGTTATGGCACCGGGGAACAAGCATTTCTAACAATTTTGTTGGCCCGTATGGGGATACCTTCTCCTCCAGGTGTGGTCTCCCATCCTCTCTCATGAGGAAGCGTGCTCCTCTGCCTCATTGCAGTGGCCTCAGGGATAAGGAATCAAGACCCATCCAGTGTGACAAATAAACCTGGACTCTCACCAATGCAGAAAAAAAAAAAAAAAAACCTGACCAGTGACCAGGAGTAAAGGATTCTCACATATCACATGAACCAGAAAACTCTGTGCACAGACCGAGGTAAAAAAACACCGGGAGAGCTGCTAAAGTATTTCCTTTGTGGTTGGGACTAAGGAAAAAGCTGCAGGGCGGTAACACATTCCTTGGTTAGGATATACCAAGGAGAGAAACTGCAGGGGTGGTAAATCATTCCTTAGATGGGTCTAGGGAAAGAAAACCATGGGGGGCTGTGAAATATTCCTTAGCTGGGATATCTTGGAGATTAAAAAGAGGGGAGAAATCCCCATTTGGGGGGTTTGAACCTCAAAAAGAGGTAAGAAATCCCCATTGGAAGGGTTGAATCTCAAAAAGAGGTAAGAAATCCCCACTGGGGGAGTGGAACCTCAAAAAGAGGTAAGAAATCCCCAATGTGGGGATTGAACCTCAAAAAGAGGTGAGAAATCCCCATGGGGGGGTGAACCTCACACAAACCTCTGGTAGTAAAAAAAAGAATTCAAAACTTCCCTTTCCCCTCTTCTTGGGGAAAGAAAAATGCTAAGCTCCATTGCCACCAGTCGCTCCCCTAGGGGAAAGAGAAGGAGAGGGGGGAAATCAGCAGGTGGCTGTTAGAGGCAAAAGAAAGACCACAGAGAGGAAAAAGAAACTAGGAGAAGACGTCAAAGTAAAAGAGAGCAAAAACAGTAAGCGCAGTGCCAGACAGCCAGGCATGCCAAGGGTTAAGTCCCTTTCCCCAGCCCAGCTCTATGTGAAAAAGAGGGTGGGGACCAGTAGCAGGAGTAGAGCAGAGTAGGTGAAAGAACACAATTCTTGCAACTTGCGGCAGGCACCTTCCAAGCCTGTGGGCCAGTGATGGCCCAGCACCCAGACTGCAGCCATACAAATCCCACCCAGCCTGAGAAACTAAGTGTAGGAAAAAAGAAAGAAAATAAAAAGGGAAATCGGAAAAAAAATAAAAACCAGGAGAAACAGATGGCAGCACTTTCACAGAGGTGGGGCCTATGCCATTGCCCAGCCCCGCCAGAGAACTCGGGAGGGAAAAAGGAAACAGGACATGACAGAGAGAGAGAGACAAAAAGGAGCACAAATGAGAGAGAGAGAAATAGAGGGAAATAATAAGTAAGAGAGAGACTGGAAGAGAGAAATCAAAGGAAGACTCAGAGGGTGAAACTAGGAAAAGAAATAGTGTAAAAGGAAGGCAGAAAGTTAAAACATGTTGAAGATTGTGAAAGTCATAAGAAAAATTATAAAAGGGAATTTATGAGAGAAATATTATATAATTTAAAAGTAATTAGGCCTCCTGAATGTAAAACTATTCAAAAAAACAGTTTATGTACAAGGTATATAAGAAAAATAAAATACACTTTTCACCATGGAATAGTGTGCAGCCATAAAAAAGGATGAATTCATGTCCTTTGCAAGGACATGGAGGAAGCCAGAAACCATCATTCTCAGCAAACTATCACAAGGACAGAAAACCAAACACTGCATGTTCTCACTCATAGGTGGGAACTGAACAATGAGAACACTTGGACACGGTCAGGGGGGAACATCACACACTGGGGCCTGTCAGGGGGTGGGGGTCTGGGGGAGGGATGGCATTAGGAGAAATACCTAATGTAAATGATAAGCTGATGGGTGCAGCAAACCAACACGGCACATGTATACCTATGTAACTAACCTGCACATTGTGCACATTTACCCTAGAAGTTAAAGCATAATAAAAAACAAGTAAATAAAAGTGAGTTAGAAAAAAATAAAGAAAAATAAATATACTTTTAATAAAAGGATTATAAGGAGGCATAAGAATATGGATTTTTATCTACATTAAAAGGTTAAAAACATTTTGTTTTAGAGGTTTAAGCAAGTTTTAAAATATTAATTGTAAAGGAAACTCTGTGTGAAAACATACTGGCTAAAGTTAAAGGGGTATCATCCAGTTTTCCTGTGAACTGGACATTAAAATAAAAGCACAATAGATTTTTCTTAAAGCACTAACCTGCTCTTTAACAAAAATTATGAAAGGTTAAAAAGAGTCTATAAAAATTTTACCTTATAGTCAGACATTAAAAATGAATAAATAATGTCTACAAGATTTTATTTAAATTAAGTTTAACATTAATAGCACATTAATATAAAGGTAAAATTTAACTTATCTGGTATAAAATCATACAAAAATCATTGTCAAATATAAAATGATGTTTAGCTTTCCTAAGGCCCGAGGGCGGCCGGTTAAGTCACAAGGGCCCTCATCCCCAAGGCCACAACACGCGGGGACAGTGAAGGTCACAAGAAGGCCAAGACCTTAAGAGGGGGCAGGGCCACAGCATCCCCTGGACAGCGCTAAGCAGGAATGGAGCGGGAGGCATCACCATGGGTCCTCAAGCCCCAGGATATGCAGCAGAAATTATATACTTAATTTATCTTCCACTTTCCCTTCCCTCAAAACTAAAAGTCTTTTAACACAGGTACCACCCCTAGAATTTCCAGTACACCAGCACCAGCCTGAAAACCAAGTCCTCATCAGAAGCCAGAAAGGAAAGAAAAAACTCAAGCCAGCCTGGGAAGGACCCTATCTTATGCTGTTAACTACTGAGACTGCCATCTGCACAGCCGAGAAACAATGGACCCACCATACCCGAGTCAAGAAAACATATTCCTCATCAGAATCATGGGTTACCGTACTAGGATCAAGCCCTGCTAAGTTAAAGTTTAAAAAAAGCTTAATTTTCATATACCTTCTATATTGCTTCCCTTCCTTTCCTTATTCCCTTACTAGCTCCTTTTTTATTAATGTTACTAAGTCTGACTCACCTCAGACCATTGCCTTTAATGCTTGCTCTGTCATACATTATGGAAATGTAAAAAATCAATGACAGCTAGCCTTTTCACACAAATATTTATGTCCCAGTCCTCTAATTGACATAGTTACCCCTGGCACTCATCGTTGTAATCACCTGTAGCCAAGACGTCAATTTTCTGCTCCTACAGCCTGGAAACCTTGTAGTAAATGGGACTACTTCCTTTAAACTACTCAGGAGCAAAGTTGGACTTCCATGAAAAAGGTTTGTGCATATCTAAAACCCCTCATCTATTTCACAAAAAGAACTACCCCTTCTAACTGTCAGCCTTATCAATGAAACCCTGTCCTTCTCTCTATCACTACCTCCACCTTAACTAACTCTAGACCTGCCCTTAGTCGCTTCTATGGTATGGGGATTGACATAAATGGAAAAGACCCCCTAGGTATTTTTAAAATATGCATCATTCCCCCATCTTCCCCTTCTTCAGTAGCCTCAGTTCTAGATCCCACACCGGTTGCTCCTACATCTAATAATAAAACTAGGGTGTCTATTGTAAAAATAAGAGATCTAAGATAGACCTTAGCCATCAAGATAAAATATCAAGATGCAAATGCCTGGTTGGAATGGATTAAATATTCTGTTCAGACTTTTTAAAAAAGTGATTATTATGCTTGTTCACACCATAGGCCAGAGGCCCAGATTATCCCCTTTCCACTCAGATGGTCTTCTTGTCAACCAAATATGGACTGTATGGGGCCTCTCTTTCAGAAACCCATTGCTTCGGATAATCCATCATGCTGAGCTCTCTCTCTGCTATTTCCTGAGAGTCAGCCCCTGAGGGCAATCCAGCTTCCACCTCTAGAGGCCAAGTTTACTTCGTGCCTCTCACAGCAAGGGGAAAATGTGGTGTTCCTTGGAAGCATAAAAGGATGCAAAGACCTCAATCCTTTCCAAGAGCTTGACCATCAGTCCATGCGTAGCCATCCCCAAGCAAATGTATGGTTGTACTGTGGAGGACCTTTACTGGACACTGCCAAATAATTGGAGCAGTACTTGTCCTCTAATCCAGTTGGCTAACCCATTCACCCTGGCATTTCATCAATCTAAAAAAAGTAAAAACAAAACAGTGCAGGCCAAGGGAAACTCCTTATAAATCCTTTAATCCTCAGGTTTACGTAAATGCTATTAAGGTCCTGTGAGAAGTGCCAAATAAGTTTAAAGCACAAAATCAAATAGCTACAAAATTTAAATCCACGTTGTTCTGGTAGGTAACTATAAATAAAAAAAGTTAACTAAATACACTATATCTATTACAATCAGCAACAATTCACAAATTGCACTAGGGACGCCATCAAGGGGATAGCTAAGCAATTAGGACGTACCAGCCGGATGGCCTAGAATAATAAAATAGCTTTAAATATAACACTAGCAAACAATCTAAGCTGATCCCGGTTGACTTAGACCCAAACTTTTTCCAAATAGGGTAAATGCGCGATTTGCGAGAAAGGGAGAAGAGGGAAGAAGAAGCGGTGTGGTTGATTTACAACTTTTACAACTTATCACCAGGAAGTTGAGTCTTTGAAAAGGATCTTTGTTGTCCTAACAACCCCTTACCCCAAGTGATCCACCCACCTGGGCCTCCCAAAATGCTGGGATTAAAGGAGTGAGCCACTGCGCCTGGCCCCACAAATTTTTAATAGGAGAAAAGAGAAGCTGTGAACCCCATGGATCAAAGCTCTTCCCATTCATGAACCTGCACCCTGACGCAAGATTCTCCCCTGATGACCCTCCCATGGTCCCTGCACAATCTGGGAGAGACGCCGTGCTGTGGGTGCAGAGCTGCCCAGAGAGGGCTCCAGGCCAGTGCACAGTCACTGAACAGGGAAGAGACTGGATGCCCAGGGGCCTGCCTGTCAGCGGAGCCGCCATCTTATGGCTGAACGGGACTGAGGCTGAGCTGGACAAGGACACCTCAGGGCGCAGATTGTGGAGCTGACTTCGGGGAGGCCTGAATCCCACCACAGCCACTTCCCACTGATTCCAACCAGTCCCTCCCCTCTCTTGGGATGTCCAATTGGCACCCTCACCATTTCTAGGCTTCCAGAAGGTCCCAGCATTTAGCTGTGGATCTCCCAATACCGGCAGGACACAGAGCCACAGAGTCTGGGCCTCTAGGAGCAGAGGACACAGAGGACTGAAGACGAGACCTGGAGCTCCTGCTGCAGCAAGAGACAAAGTCCGCGCCAAACCCAGAAGTTGTCCTGTTCTCTCCAGCTGAGTGTCTGATTGGACGGTTTCCAGCTCAGGGTTCCTGATTGGATAATGCTTAAGGTCCCGCCCCCTCAGGCCTTGAGTGACAGAAGATGTGATCAGGTGCTGGGCTGAGTGAAGAAAGAGCAACAGCCTAAGCTGCAGCCTTTTCAGGCAGGGCTTCCTCCCTGAGCTGAGCCAGGCCCACCCCAGAACATGAGAAAATTCTGTCTCTTTTTCACTCTCGGTCTTTTTGAATATATTCAAAAGGTGAACAGAAGTACTTTGCTGTCATATTAATAATACATAAAATTTTTGTTCAAGAGAAAATCAACTTTTACTTTGGTAATAGCGTATTATCAATACTAAAGCTAATTTTAATAAAACCTTAAAAATAAATCAAATTTGTCATTTTTGACCTCGAGATTTACATATATATTTTGCATTCTCTTGTAATTTTTTTAACTTTTTATATTTTCTTTTTCTCTACATTCTTTTTATTTTTTTTCTATTTGAAACAACCATTAAGTAATTTCAAACTGTTATAGGAGATAGAAAGAAATCATTTAGGGCCAGATGCAGTGGTGCACACCTCTAATCCCAGCACTTTGGGAGGCCAAGGTGGGCAGATCACTTGAGGTCAGAAGTTCGAGACCAGTCTAGCCAACGTGGTTAAACCCAATCTCTACTAAAAATGCAAAAAATTAGCCAGGCACGGTGGTGCACACCTGTAGTCCCAGATGCTCCGGAGGCTGAGGCAGGAGAATCGCTTGAACCCAGGAGGCAGAGGTTGTGTGACAGCCCAAGGGGTTCCCCTTGCCCTTTGCCCAGAGAGAGCTGATTCATCAAGACAGAGGAATTTGTGGAGGAAAAATTAAATATTAAATTTGAACTCAATTAAACATGGACACAAAAAATAGACACCAAGTCCTGAAACAGGTTATGTGAGCCCCCTTGAGGTGTTCATCCTGCACTGTTTTGGAGAAATCTCTATTTCAGTCTATTCCTACACATTAGTTATTGAAAAACAATAGACGATCACAAGAAAACAAGTTGACCTTTTTGTGTTCCTTGAGCTCAGTCGCAAAGGGCCCTCATGACTGGGCCTCATACCAAACAACTCATTACAAAAAGAGCTAGGGCCCCAGACCACACCGAAGCTTCAGGAGACCTCTCCTTATCTGTGCAAGGATGGATGACCAACTCTTGAGCCCAAGCTGTTGCTTCCCAGTCTGGTGGTGAATCCTCCATAGTCTGATGAGTGTGGTGTTCAACTCTGGAGTCCAGCCTGTTGCTCCTTGGTCTGGTGGTGAATCCTCCATAGTCTGGTGTGGAGGCAAAGTTAAATAGCAAATTTAAACTATATGAATGTGGACACAAACAGTGGTCACCAAGTCCTGGAACAAGTTGTGTGAGCCTATTGAGGTGTTCATTCAGTGCTGTTTTGGAGAAATCTCTATTTCAATGTATTCCTCCACATTCGTTATTGAAATCAATAGACAATCGCAAAAATAAGTTGACCTCCTTGAGCCCAGTTGCGAAGGGCCCTCATGACTGTCACACGTGTCCGTGTGAAGAGACCACCAACAGGCTTTGTGTGAGCAATAAGGCTGTTTATTCACTTGGGTGTAAGTGGGCTGAGTCTGAAGAGAGTCAGCGAATGGAGATGGGGAAGGGGTTGCTTCATAGGAGTTGGGTAGGTAATGGAAAATTACAGTAAAAGGTGGTTATTATCTATTGTTAGCAGAGGAGGGGGTCACAAGGTACATGGTGGGTAGATCATAAGACTCACTGTCCAGAAGAAGAATGTCACAAGGTCGATTGATCAGTTAAGGTAGGGCAGGGACAAGTCACAATGGTGTAACGGTGTAACGTTGGTTAATCAGTTGAGGCAAGAACTAGCTCTTTTACTTGTTTTGTGTTTTTTCAGCTGCCCCAGATTTCTTGGCTCCTGCAGGCCACCTGGATGTGTATGTGCAGGTCACAGGGGTTACAATGGCTGAGCTTTGGCTCAAAGACCTGACATTCCTGTCTTTTTATTTATAAAATATAAAGTTACAAGATAAGATAAAGAAAATGTAAGTTTTTACTGAGGATAATTGGGGTAGGGGTGAAGTTTCTCAGGGCTGCTTCAGGCATGACTTAGGGGTGGTGTGAACACCTAAAGAAAATTTAATTTTATAGTGAGTTGGTCTAGAAAGTTTTTGGGTACAATTCTGTGTGGCAAACAAGGCATCAGCTAGCATATTTTTGAGCTTGGAATTGTCCTAATATAATAAATTCTCTAAAAAATCATAATTAAGCATAATAGCTTTAAGGTAGGTGGCAGTGAGTTTTTAGGCCAAGGTAAGAATAATGTTTTATATACTAAAGCTTTTTGTCTCCATTTTCCATCCTACAAATAGGATCCCTAGAGTGAAGCCAAAAGTCTATTATATTACCTTTTTCCTAAAGGTGTGAGTGGAGTTTTGAATGGAAGAGTTCAATAGTCCTGATTGCAGACCTTATACAGGAAAGATAATAAGTACAATAGTCCCTGTATCCTGGAATAAGTTGGGGCTGGCAAAGAGAGAAATGTCCTAGGCCTTCTAACAACCAACGACAGACCATATGTTGTCCTGGATGTTCACCTGAATGCCAGATATGTGGAACTAGTCCTGTATATGCATATTGCTGGTAATTTTTATATGAGTAGGCCTGAGGACACCATGGGTGAGGATTTGACACCTGTCAATCCAGGCATTTTAGATTTTTAATCCAGAGATCTTTGATTTTGGGGGTGGGGAAAATCTTGGAGGACAAGGCCTGAAGAAAGTTGTTTTTAGAGACAACAGGTCCTAAGAGATTAGCGTTTAGAGGACTGGGTGAAGCAGGCCTGGAAGTATGTTTGGACAGCCATTTGGAAGGGGTGTTGCATGGAAGCTTGGTCTTGTCTGGATGCTGCCAGGAGTTCATCATTGACTTAGTCTTAAAGGTGAGAAGGTGAGAAGGAGTATAAAGATGAGAAGGAGTGAGAAGGAGTATAATAGGTGAGAAGGTGAGAAGGAGTATAACAGGATGAGGAATAGAAGTTTAGGCTGTGGGGCGATTTTAGGGTACATGATAGTACTGTGGGGTTGTTAGAAGCAGCAACTGCCATATGGAATGATTGGTGATGGCCTGGATGCAGTTTTGTATGAATTGAGAGACTAAACGAAAGACCTTTCACTGTCACACACTCATTTTCACAGTAAGAACCTGTTCGCTGTCATCCAATCATTCACAACAGTGGGAACAAGTTCACTGTCACCCACTTGTTTACAGCAGTAAAAACCTGTTCACTGTCAGCCATGCAGTCACCACATTGGTAACCTGTTACTGTTAAACACTCATTCAACATATTGGGAACCATTTCACTATCACAAACACATTCAACACCCTGAGAACCTGTTCACTGTCACTTACTCATTCACCACAGTGAGTACCTGTTCACTGTTACCCACTCATTCACCACAGTGGGAACCTCTTCACTGTCAGCCACTCACTCATCATAGAGGAAACCTGTTCACTGTCATCCACTCTTTCACCACAGTGGATACCTGTTCACTGTCACCCACAAATTCACAACAGTGGGAATCTGTTCACTGTCAGACACTCATTCATCACAATGGGAACCTATTCACTCTCACCCACTCATTCATCTCAGTGGAAACCTGTTCACTGTCAGCCACTCACTCATCACAGTGGGAAACTCTTCACTGTCACCCACTCATTCACCACAGTGGGAACGTGTTCACTGTCATTCACTCATTCATCACAGTGGTAATGTGTTCACTGTCACCCATCCCATCATTACAGCAGGAACCTGATCACTGTCATCTACTCATTCATCACAGTGGGAACCAATTCACTGTCAGCCACTAATTCACCACATTGGTAACCTGTTTCCTGTCAGCCACTCATTCACCACAGTGGGAACCAGTTCACTGTCATCCCCTCATTTACAGCAGTAGAAACCTGTTCACTATCAGCCACTCAGTCAGAACAGTGTGAACCAGTTTACTGTCAGCCACACCCTCATCAGACTGGGAACTTGTTCACCCTAACCCACTCATTTATCACAGTGGGAACCTGTTCACTATCACCCACTCATTCACCACAGTTGGAACCTCTTCTCTGTCACCCACTCACACATCACAGTGGGAAGCTGTTCATTGTCGACCACCCCTTCATTGCAAGAGGAACATTTAACTGTCACCCACTCATTCTTCACAGTGAGAACCAGTTTACTGTCACCTGATCATTCACCATAGTGAGAACCAGTTAACTGTCACCCACTCATTTGCTGCAGTAAAAACCGGTTCACTATCAGCCACTCAGTCACCACATTGGGAAACTCTTTACTGTAAATTACTCATTCACTGCAGTGGGACCCAGTTCACTTTCACCCACACATTCATCACAGTGAGAACCTCTTCACAGTCACCCACTCACTCAACATAGGGGGTACCTGTTCACTGTCTTCCACTCATTCATCACAGTGGGAACCTGTTCACTGTCCCCCACATATTCATTACATTCTGGGAACCTGTTCACTATCACCCACTCATTCATCACAGTGTGAACATGTTCACTGTTGCCCACTTACTCACCACACTGGGAACTTGTTCACTGTCACCCACTCAATCATCAAAGTTGGAACCTGTTCACTTTCACTGACAAATTCACCACAGTGGGAACCAGTTCACTCCCACACACTTATTCACCACAGTGGGAACCTGACTACTGTCACCCACTCATTTATCAAATTGGGAACCTGCTAACTGTCACCCACTCATTCATTACAGGAGGAACCTGTACACTGTCACCCACTTATTCATTACAGGAGGAACCTGTACACTGTCACCCACTCAGTCTACACAGTGGGAATCTGTTCATTATCAACCACTCATTCACAACTGTGGAAACCTGTTCACGGTCACCCACTCGTTCACCTCAGTAGAAACCTGTTCACTGTCACCACTCACTCACTCACTACAATGAAAACCTGTTGTCAGCCACTCATTCATCAGAGTGGGTACCTGTCACTGTAACCCACTCATTCATTACTGGAGGAACCTGATCACTGTCACTCACTCATTCACCACAGTGAAAATCTCTTCACTGTCAGCCACTCATTCATCACAGTGGGATCCTGTTCACTGTCACCCACTCTGTCCTCACAGTGGGAATATGTACACTGTCACCAACTCACTCATCACTGTGGGAACCTGTTCACTCTCACCCACTCATTTACCTCAGTGGGAACCTGTTCATTGTCACCCACTCAATCATCACAGTGGGAACTTTTTCACTGTCATCCACTCACTCTTCACAGAGGGAACCTGTTCACAGTCAGCCACTCACTAAAAACACTGGGAACCTGTTCACTGTCACCAACTCACTCATCACAGTGTGAACCTTTTCCCTGTCACTCACTCATTCATCACATTCAAAACCTGTTCACTGTCACCCACTCATTCATCACAGTGAGAACCTGTTCACTGTCACCCACACAGTCCTCACAGTGGGAACCTATTCATTGTCACCCACTCATTCATTACAATGGGAACCCGTTGTAATTCACTCTCACCCACTCATTTACCCCAGTGGGAGCCTGTTCAGGGTCACCCACTCACTCATCACAGTGTGAACCTGTTCACTTTCACCCACTCCTTTCTCACAGTGGGAACCTGCTCACTGTCACCCACTAATTCATCATAGTGGGAACCCGTTCACTGTCACCTACTCACTCATCATAGTGGGAAAAAGGACACTTTTACACAAACATTCACTACAGTAGGAACCTGTTCACTATCAACAACTCACTCATCACTGTGGGAACCTGTTCACTCTGACCCACTCATCCATCACAGAGGTAGCCTATTTGCTGTCACCCACTCATTCATCACAGTGAGAACCAGTTCACTCTCACTCTCTCATTCACCAAAGTGAGAACATCATCACTGTCACCCACTCACTCATCTCAGTGGGAACCTGTTCACTGTCAGCCACTCATTCCTCACAGTAGGTACCTGTTCACTGTCACCCAATAATTCATTACAGGAGGAAACTGATCACTGTCACTTATGCGTTCACCACTATAGAAACCTGTTCACTGTCACACACTCATTCACCCCAGTGGGAACATGGTCACTGTCAGCCACTCATTCACCATTCTGGGAACCCGTTCACTGTCACCCACTCACTCACCCAGGGGGAACCTGTTCACTGTCGCACACTTCCTCATCACAGTGGGAAACTGTTAACTGTCAGCCACTCATTCATCATAGTGGGAACCTGTTCAATGTCAGCCACTCATTCACCACAGTGGGAACCTGTTCACTCTCACAAACTCACTCACCAGAGCAGTAACCTGTTTACTGTCAGCCACTCATTCACCACAACAGGAACCTGTTCACTCTCACCCAATTACTCATCACAGTAGGAACCTATTCACTGTCACCCACTCATTCATCACAGATGGAACCTGTTCACTCTCAACCACTCCTTCACCACCTTGGGAACCTGTTCAATGTCACCCACTCATCATCAGAGTGTGAACTTGTTAACTGTCAGCCACACATTCCCCATAGTGGGAACCAGTTCACTTTCATTCAGTCGTTCACGGCAGTAGAAACCTGTTCACTGTCACCCACTTATTTATCACTGTGGGATCCTGTTCACTGTCAGACACTGATTAATCACAGTAGGTAACTGTTCACTGTCATTCACTCATTCATTACAGGAGGAACGTGATCACCATCCACCACTGGTTCACGACAGTAGAAACCTGTTAACTCTCACCCACTCATTCACCACAGTGGAAACCTGTTCACTGTCAGCCACTCATTTACCATAGTGGAAACCTGTTCCCTGTCACCCTGTCACTCACCACATTAGGAAGCGGTTCACTGTCACCCACTCAGTCATCACAGTGGGAACCTGTTTACTGTCACCCACTCAATCATCACAGTGGAAACCTGTTCACTCTCACCCAACCATTAACCACAGTGGGAACCTGCTCACTGTCACGCACTAATTTATCACTGTTCACTATCACACACACATTCACCGGAGTAGAAACTTGTCCCGTCACCCACTCACTCATCACAATGTGAACATGTTCACTGTTAGCCACCCATTCATCACAATGGGTACATGTTCACTGTCACCCACTCTTTCATTACAGGAGAAACCTGATCACTCTCATGCACTCATTTACCACAGTAGAAACCTGTTCACTGTCACTCAATCACTCACCACAGTGGAAATCTGTTCACTGTCAGCCACTCATTCATCACTGTGGGAACCTGTTTACTATCAGCTACTCTACCACCACAGTGGGAAACTGTTCACTGTCACCCACTCACTAGTCACAGTGAAAACCCGTTAACTGTCATTCACTCACTCATCACAGTAGGAAACTGTTCACTGTCAGCCACTCATTAACCACAGTGGGAACTTGTTCACTGTCACGTAATAAATCATCACAGTGCGAAACTCTTCACTCTCACAAACTCATTCACCACAGTGGAAACCTGTTCACTGTCACACACTCGTTCATCACAGTGGGAACCTGTTTACTGTCACCCACTCATTCATTACAGGAGGAGCCTCTTCACTGTCAGCCCCTCATTCATCACATTGGGAAGCTATTCACTGTCAGCCACTCACTCACCATAGTGGGAACCTTTTTAATGTCACCAACATGTTCTCCGCAGTAGAAACCTGTTCACTGTTACTCATTTACTCATCACAGTGGGAACATGTTCACTGTCATACCCTTATTCATCGCAGAGGAAAGCTGTTCACTATCAGGCACTCATTCACCAGAGTAGAAACCTATTGACTCACTCACACACTCATCACAGTGAGAACTTGTTCATTGTCAGCCACTCATACATGACAGTGGACAGCTGTTCACTGTCACACACTCATTCACTACAGGAGGTACCCCATTACTGTCACCCACTCATTCACCACAGTAGAAACCGGTTCACTGGCACCCATTCATTCACCACAGTGGGAAACTGTTCACTCTCAACCACTCATTTATTACAGTGGGAAACTCTTCACTGTCAACCACTCATTCAGCACAGTGGGAAACTGTTCACTGTCACCCACTTATTCACCACAGTAAGACCCTGTTCACTGTCACACACGCATTCATCATAGTACAAGCCTGTTCCCTGTCACCCACTCATTCATCTAAGTTGGGACCTCTTTACTCCAACCCTCACATTCACCACAGTGGGAACCTGTTCACTGTCACACACTCATTAATCACAGTGGAAACCTGTTCATTGTCACGCACTCATTTATTACAGGAGAAATTGGTTCATTGTCACCCACTTATTCATCACAGTGGGAACTTGTTCATGTTAGCCACTGATTCACAACAGTGGGAAACTGTTCACTGTCACCCACTCGTTCACTGCAGTAGAAAACTTTCCACTGTCACCCACTCATTCATCACAGTGGGAAACTCTTCACTGTCAGCCACTTATTCACCACAGTGGAAACCTGTTCACTGTCACCCATGCATTCACTGCAGTATAAAACTGTCCACTGTCACCCACTCACTCATCACAGTGTGAAAATGTTCACTGTCAGCCAGTCATTCATCACAGTGGGTACCTGTTCACTGTCACCCACTCATTCATTACAGGATAAATCTGATAACTCTCACCCACTCATTCACCCCAGTAGAAATCTGTTCACTGTCATCCACTCATTTAACACAGTGGGAACCTGTTCACTGTCAGTCATTCATTCATCGCAGTGGGATCCTGTTAACTGTGAGCCACTCATTCACCACAGTGGGAACCAGTTCAGTGTCAGCCACTCATTCAACACAGTGGGACCCTGTTCACTGTCACCCACGCATTCATCACAGTGGAAGCCTGTTCACTGTCACCCACTCATTCATTACAGGAGGAACCTATTCACTGTCACCCGCTCTGTCTTTAAAGTGGAAACCTCTTCACTATAATCCACACATTCACCACAGTGGTAACCTGCTCACTGTTACCCACTTATTCTTTACAGGAGGAACCTGTTCACCTTCAGCCACTCGTTTTCACAGTGGGAACATGTTCACTGTCAGCCAGTCATTCACCAAGTTGGGAACCAGTTTACTGACACCCACTCATTTGCCACAGTAGAAACCTGTTCACTGTCAGCCTCTCAGTCACCACATTAAGAACCTGCTTACAGTCAGCAACTCACTCATCACAGTGGGAACCTGTTCACTGTCACCCACTCATTTCTCACACTGGGAGCGTGTTCATTGTCAGTCACACATTTACCACAGTGGTTACCTCTTCTCTCTCAGCCACTTATTCACCACAGTGAAAACCTGTTCACTATCACCCACTCACTCTTCACAATGGGAACCTGTTCACTGTCACCCACTCACTCATCACAGAGGGAACGTCTTCACTGTTACCCACTTATTCACCACAGTGGGAACCTGTTCACTCTCAGCCGCTCCCTCATTACATTGGGAATCTGTTGGATGTAACCAACTTATTCATTACAGGAGGAATCTATTAACTGTCACCCACTCATTCATCACAGAGGAAACCTGCTTACTGTCACCCATTCATTCATCACACTGGCAACCTATTCATTGTCACCACTCACTCATCACAGTGGGAACCTGTTCAATGTCATCCACTCATTCATCACAGTGGAAACGTCTTCACAGTCACCCAATAATTCATTACAGGAGGAATTTGTTCACTGTCACTCGCTCATTCTTCACAGTTTGAAACTTTTCACTGTCTCTCCTTTTTCATCACACTAGGAAACTGTTCACTGTCAGTTACTAATTCACCACAGTGGGAAACTGTTCCCTGTCAGGCACTCACTCACCACAGTGCTATCCTGTTCAGTGTCACCCACTCACTCATCACAGTGGGAACCTGTTCACTGGCACCCAATCATTCATCACAGTGTGAACCTGTACACTCTCATCCACTCATTCCTGACAGTTGGAACCTGTTGACTGTTACACACTCATCACAGTTGGAACCTGTTCGCTCTCACCCACTCACCACAGTGGAAACCTGTTCACTCTCACCCACTAACTTATCACAGTAGGAAGCTGTTCACTTGAACCCAATCATTCATCACAGTGGGGACCTTTTCACTCCCAGTCATTTATGACAGTGGGAACCTGTTCACTGTCACCAATGCATTCATTACAGTGGGAACTTATTCCTGTCACCCACTCATTCCTTACAGGAGAAACTTCTTCACTGTTACCCACTCATTCATTACAGTGGGAACCTGTTCACTGTCAGCCACTCTTTCACCACAGTGGGAAACTGTTCACTGTCACCCACTCATTCACCACAGTAGAAATCTGCTCACTGTCACTTACTCACTCATCAAGTGAGAACCTGTTCACTGTCACCCACCCATTCACCACAGTAGAAACCTGCTCACTGTCACTTACTCATCAGGCGAGAACCTGTTCACTGTCCCCCACTCATTCATCACAGTGGGTACCTGTTCATTGTCACCCATTCATTCATTATGGGAGGAACCTGATCCTGTCAACCACTCATTAATCACAGTAGAAGCCAGTTCACTGTCACCAACTCACTCACCACAGTGGGAACCTGTTCACTGTCAGCCACTCATTCATCACAGTGGGAAACAGTTCTCTTTCAGCCACTCAATCACCACAGTGAGAACAATTTCACTGTCACCCCCTCATTCACAGCATTAAAAACTTGTTCACTATCAGCCAGTCTGTCACCAGAGTGGGAACTTGTCTACTGTCAGCGACTCACTCATCACAGTGGGAACCCACTCACTGTCACTCACTTATTAATCACAGTGGGAACCTGTTCAATGTCACCCACTTATTCATCACAGGGGAACCTGTTCACTTTCACTTAATCATTACAGAAGGAACCTGTTCACTGACACCAACACATTCATCACAGTGGAACCTGTTCACTGTCACCCACTCACTCCCCAACGTGGTTACCTCTTCACAGTCACCCACTCAATCATTACATTGGGATTCTGTTTACTGTCACCCATTCATTCATTGAAAAAAGAACCTGTTCACTGTCAGCCGCTCATTCATCACAGTGGGAACCCGTTCACTGTCAGGCACTCATTCACCAAAGTTAACCGTTTCCCTGTCACCCACTCGTTCTCCGAAACAGAAATTTGTTCCCTGTCACCCACTCACTCATCCCAGGGAGAACCTGTTCACAGACAGCCACTCATTCCTCCTAGTGGGTACCTCTTCACTGTCACCCACTCATTCATTACAGGAGGAACCTGATAACTGTCACTGACCTGTTCACTAGAGTAGGAACCTTTTCACAGTCAGTCACTCATTCATCATAGTGGGAACCTGTTTTCCATCAGCCACTCACTCACCACAGCAGGAACCATTTCACTGTCACCTACTCATTCATCGCTGTAGAAACCTTTTCACTGTCAGCCACGCAGTCATCAGAGTGGAATCTGTTTACTGTCAGTCACTTAGTCATCACAGTGGGAACCTGTTCATTGTCATTCACTCATTCATCACTGTGGGAACCTGTTGAATGTCACCCATTCATTCTCCACAGTGGGAACCACAACACTGCCATCCACTCATTAATCACATTGAGAACCTGTTCACTGTCACCAAGTCATTCATTACAGGAGGAACCTGTTCACTGTCACCCGCTAATTCTTCACAGTGAAAACCAATTCCATATCACACACTCACTCACCGCAGTGGGAGTCTCTTCAGTGTCACCCATTCACTTATCAAAGTGGGAACCTCTTCACTCTTACCCACTCATTTACCACGGTGAGAACCTGTTCATTGTCACCCACTCATTCATCACAGTGGGATCCTGTTCACTGTCACCCACCCATTCATTACGGGAAGAGCCTGTTCACTGTCACTTATTCATTCATCAGAGTGGGAAACTGTTCACTGTCAGCAACTCATTCATTACAGTGGGAACATGTTCACTCTCACCCACTCATTCACTACAGCAGAAACCTGTTCAGTTACCTTCTCACTCATCCCAGTGGAAATGTCTTCATTGTCAGCCACTCATTCATCACAGTGGATACCTGTTCACAGTCACCTTCTCCTTCATTACAAGAGAAACCTGATCACTGTCACCCACTCGTTCATCACAGTAGAAATATATTCACTGTCACCATCTAATTCACCACAGTGGGAACCTGTTCCCTGACAGCCACTCATTCCACAGTGGGAAACTGTTCACTCTCACCCACTCATTCACTACAGTGGGAATCTGTTCACTGTCACCCACTCATTCACTACAGTGAGATCCTGTTCACTCACATGCACTCACTCATCACAGTGGGAGCCTGTTCACTATCAGCCACAGTGGGAACTTGATTACTCTCACCAACTCTTTCACCACAGTGGGAAACTGTTCACTCTCATCCACTCATTTACCACATCAGGAACCTGTTGATTGTCACCCACTCATTCATCACAGTAGGAAACTGTTCACTGTCACACACTCATTTATCACAGGGGGAACATGGTCACTCTCACTCATTCATTCACCACAGTGGAGACCTGTTCACTGTCACCCACTCATTCACTACAGTGAGATCCTGTTCACTCACACGCACTCACTCATCACAGTGGCAACCGATTCACTCTAAACCACTCATTCACCACAGTGCGAATTCGTTCAGTGTCAGCCAATCACGCATCACAGTGGTACCCTGTTCACTGTCGGGTTGTCATTCACCAGAGCGGGAATCTGTTCACTCTCACCCACTCATTCACCATATCGGGAACCTGTTGATTTTCACCCACTCATTCATCACAGTAGGAACCTGTTCACTGTCACACACTCATTTATCACAGTGGGAAACTGTTCACTCTCATTCACTCACCAGAGTGGGAACCTGTTCACTCTCACAAACTATTCCACCAAAGTGGGAACCTGTTCACTCTCACCCACTCATTCACCACATCGGGAACCTCTTGTCATCCACTCATTCATCACAGTAGGAACCTGTTTACTGTCACACACTCATTTATCACTGTGGGAACCTGTTCACTCTCACTCTCTCACTCATCACAGTGGAAACCTGTTAACTCTCAGCCACTCATTCACCACATTGGAAACCTATTCACTGTCACCCACTCATTCATCACAGTGGGAACCTGTTAACTGTCACCCACCCTTCATTACAGAAGGAACCTGTTCACTGTCACCCACTCATTTATCTCCAGTGGGAACCTGCTCACTGTCAGCCACTCATTCATCACAATGGGAACCTGCTCACTGTCACCCACTCATTCATCACAGTGGAAACTTGTTCACTCTCACTCACACATTCATCAGATTGGGAACCTATTCACTGGCACCCACTCACTCATCATAGTAGGAACCTGCTCAGTGTCACCCACTCACTCACAAGTGTGAAAACCTGTTCACTGTCAGTCCATCATTCATCACATTGGGAACCTGTAAACTGTCAGCTACTCATTCATCACAGTGGGAACCTTTTCACTGTCACCCACTCATTCATCACACTGGCAAGCTATTCATTGTCATCCACTCACTCATCACAGTGGAAAGCTGTTCACTGTCATCCAATCACTCATCATAGTGGGAACCTGTTCACTCTCAGCCACTCATTCACCACAGTGGGAACCTATTCACTCTGACCCACTCAGTCACCATGTGGTAATCTGTTGACTGTCACCCACTCATTCATCACAGTGGGAACCTTTTCACTGTCATTCACTGATTCATCACAGTGGGAACCTGTTCACTCTCACATACTCACTAGTCACGTTTTGAACATGTGCACTGTAAGCCACTCGTTCATCACATTGAGAACCTGTTCACTCTCACCCACTTATTCAACACAGTGGGAACCTGTTCATTGTCACCCACACATTCATTACAGGAAGAACTTGTTAACAGTAACACACTCTTTCATCACAGTGGGAAACTGTTCACTGTCAGCCATTCATTCACCACAGTGGTAACCTGCTTACTGTCAGCCACTCACTCACCGCAGTGAAAACCTGTTCACTGTCACCCACCTGATGACCTGAGTAGAAACTTGTTTACTTGCAGTCACTCATTCACCACAGTGGGAAATTTCATTGTCACCCACTCATTCTCAAAAGTGGGAACCAGTTCGCTGTCACCTACTTGTTCACCGCAGTCGAAACCTGTTCATGGTCAGCCCCATGGTGATGACAGTGGGAACCTGTTTACTTTCAGCCACTCATTCAACAAAGCAGGAACCAGTTCTTTGTCACCCACTCATTCATCACAGTGAGAACGTGTTCACTGTCATCCGCTCATTCATCACAGTGGGAACTAGTTCACTGTCAACCACTCACTCATCTCAGTGGGAACCTGTTCACTGTCATTCACTCATTCATCACAGTGAGAACATCCTGTATTTCAGCCACTCATTCTCCACTGTGGGAACAAGTTCACTGTCACCCACTCATTCACCTTAGTAGGAACCTGTTCACTATCAGCCACTCAGTCACCACAGTGGGAACCATTTTACTGTCAGCCAGTCACTCATCATAGTGGGAACCTGCTCACTGTCACTTTCTCATTCTTCCCTGCGGGAACCTGTTTACTGTCACCCACTGATTCACCACAGTGGGAACCTGTTCACTGTCACTCACTCATTCATTACAGTGGAAAACTGTTCCCTGTCACCCACGCACTCATTACATGAGGAACTTGTTCACTGTCACCCACTCATTCATCACAGTTGGAATCTGTTCACTCTCACCTATGCATTCACCACAGTGGGAAAATTTTAACTGTTACCCACTCATTCATCAAAGTGAAAACCTGTTCACTCTCACCCACTCATTTACGACAATGGGAACCAGCTCACTGTCACCCACCTGTTCATCACAATGGGAACCTGTTCACTGTCAAACACTCATTTATTGCAGGAAGAACCTGTTCACTGTCACACACTCTTTCATTACACTGGGAACCTGTTCACTGTCACGCACTCATTCATTAGAGTTGGAACCTGGTGACTGTAACACACACATTAATTGCAGTGGGAACTTATTCACTGTCAGTCACTAATTTGCCACAGTGGGAACCAGTTCACTGTCACCCACTAGTTAACCACAGTAGAAACCTGTTAACAGTCAGCAACTCACTCATCACAGTGGGAAGCTGTTCCGTGTTAGCCACTCATTCATGACAGTGAATACCTGTTCACTGTCACCCACTTATTTATCACAGGAGTAACTTAATTACTGTTACCCACGCATTCACCACAGTAGAAACCTGTACACTGTCACCCACTCATTCGCCCCAGTGTGAACCGGTTCAATATCAGCCACTCATTCATCACAGTGAGAACCTGTTCCCTGTCAGCTTCTCATTCATCACAGTTGGAACCTGTTCACTGTCACCCACTCATTCACCAAAGTGGGAAACTGTTTACTGTCACTCACTTATTCATCACAATGGGAACCTTTTCACTGTCACCCACACATTCATTACATGAGGAACCTGTTCACCATCACCCACTCATTCATTACAGTGGGAACCTGTTCACTGTCAGCCACTCATTCACAAGAGTGGGAACCTGTTCACTGTCACCAACTCATTTACCACAGCAGAAATCTGTTCACTGCCACCAACTTACTCATCACAGTGGGAATCTGTACACTGTCCGCCACTCATTCATCACAGTGGGTACCCGTTCACTGTCACCCACTCATTCATTACAGAAGGAACCTGCTCATTGTCACCCACTCGTTCACCACAGTAGAAACTTGTTCACTGTCACCCACACATTCACCATATTGGGAAAGTGTTCACTGTCAGCCACTCAATCATCACACTGGAAACCTGTTCACTGTCAGACACTGATTCACCATAGTAGCAACCAGTTCACTGTTACCCACTCATTCACCACGATGGAACCTCTTCACTGTAAGCCACTTATTTATCACAGTGCAAAGCTGATCACTGTCAGCCACTCATTTACCTCAGTAGAAACCAGTTTACTGTCACCCACTCACCACACTTGGAAACTGTTCACTGTCACTGAGTCACTCATCAGAGTGGGAACGTGTTTACTGTTACACACTCATTCATCACAATGGGAACCTGTTCAATGTCAGCCACTCATTCACCACAGTGGGAATTTGTTCACTCTCATTCACACATTCACCAGAGTGATAACCTTTTAACTGTTAGCCACTCATTCACCACAGTGGGACCTGTTCTTTTCACCCACTCATTCATCACTGTGAGAACCAGTTCACTCTCATCAACTCACTCATCACATTGGGATTCTGTTCAGTGTCAGCCACTCATTCATCACAGTGTGAAACTGCTCACTGTGAGTCATGCATTCACCACAGTGGCACCCTGTTCACTGTCACCAACTCTTTCACCACAGTAAAAACCTGTTCACTGTCACACACTCACTCATCACTGTGGATACCTGTTCACTGTCAGACACTCATTCATCACAGGGGGAGCCTGTTCATTTTCACCAGCGTATTGATCACAGTGGAAACCTGTTCAGACACTCATTCACCATAGCGGAAAACAGTTCAGTTTCACTCACTTGTTTACCGCAGTAGAAACCCGTACATTGTCAGCCACTCAGTCACCACTGTGGGAACTTGTTTATTGTCAGCCACTCAGTCATCACGTGAAAAATTGTTTACTGTCACCCACTCATTCATCACAGTGGGAACCTGTTCCACGTTACCCCACCATTCACCACACTGGGAAACTCTTCTCTGTCGTCCTCCCATTCATCAGAGTGGGAACGTGTTCTATGTCATGCACTCATTCATTACACCAGAAACCCGTTCACTGTTACCCACTCATTCTTCACAGTGGAAACCTGTTCACTGTCACCCACTCATTTACCACAGTGGGAACCTGTTCACTGTCAGTCACTAATTCATCACACTAAAAACTTATTCACTGTCAGCCACTCATTCATCACTGTGGGAACGAGTTCACTGTCACCCACTCATTCATCACAGTGAGAACCTGTTCACTGTCCCCACCTCATGCATCACAGTGGTAACCTGTTCACTGTCACCCACTCACTCACCACAGTGGGTACGTGTTCACTGTCACCCACTCATTCACCACAGCGGGAACCTGTAAACTGTAACACACTCAGTCATCACAGTAGGAACTTGTTCACTTTTAGCCACTCATTCACCTCAGTGGGAACCTGTTCACTGTCACCCACACATTTATCACAGTAGAAACGTTTTCACTGTCAACCACTCACTCATCAGAGTTAAGAATCTGTTCACTGTCAGCCACTCACTCATCACAGTGGGTACCTGTTCACTGTCAACCACTCACTCATCTCATCGGGAACCTGTTCACTGTCACCCAGTCATTCATCACAGAGGGAACATGTTAAATGTCAGCCACTCATTCACCACAGTGGGAACTTGTTCACTGTCACTCTTTCACCACAGTGGGAACATGTCCCCTGTCAGCCACTCATTCTCCACAGTAGGAACCGGTTCAGTCTCTCCAACTCACTTATCATGGTTGGAAACTTTTCACTGTCACCCTCTCATTGACCACATTGGGAACCTGTTCACTCTCACCTACTCACTCATTACAATGAGTACCTGTTCAATGTTAGCCACTCATTCACCACAGTGTGAACCTGTTCAGTGTCACCCACTCACTCATCACAATGAGAACCTGTTCACTGTCACACACTCACCACATTGGGAACCATATCACTCTCACCCACTCATTCACCACAGTGGGAGCCTGTTCTCTGTCACACACTTATTTATCAGTGTTTGAACCTGTTCTCTGTCACCCACTCACTCATCAGAGTGAGAACTTGTTTGCTGTCACCCACTTAATAACCACACTGTGAACCTATTCATGGTCTCACACTCACTCATCACAGTGGAAAACTGTTCACTGTTACCACACATTCACCAGAGTGGGGAACTTTTCACTGTCAGGCACGCAATCACCACAATGGGAACTTGTTCGCTCTCACCCACTCACTCACCACCCTGGGAATATATTTATTGTCACCCACTTATTCATCAACGTGGAAACCTGTTCACTCTCACCCACTCATTTATGACAGTGAGAACCAGTTCACTGTCATCCACCTATTCATCATAGTGGAAACCTGTTCACTGTCACCCACTCGTTTATTACAGAAGGAACCTATTCACTATCACACACTCATCACAGTGGGAACCTGTTCACTGCCAAGCACTCATTCATTACAGAAGGTACCTGTTGACTGTGATTCACACATTCATCACTGCGGGAACTTGTTCACTGTCAGTCACTCATTCAAACCAGTTCACTTTCACCCACCAGACCACCGCAGTAGAAACGTGTTCAGAGTCACCAACTCACTCATCAGAGTGGAAACCCGTTCAGTGTTAGCCACTCATTCATCACAGTCAACACCTGTTCACTGTCACCCACTTATTCATTACAGGAATAACTTAATCACCGCCACCCCCTTACTAATTACAGTAGAAACCTGTACACTGTCATACACTTATTTACCCCAGTGGGATCATGTTCACTATCAGTCAGTCACTCATCACATGTGAACCTGTTCCCTGTAAGCCACTCATTCACCACAGTTGGAATGAGTTCGCTGTCACCATCTCCTTCAACTTAGTAGGAATCTGTTCACCATCAGCCACTCAGTCACCACAGTGGGAACCAGGTTACTGTCAGCCACTCACTCATCACAGTGAGAACCTGCTCACTGTCACCCTCTCATTCCTCACAGTGGGAACCTGTTCACTGTCACCTACTCATTCACCACAGTGGGAACTTGTTCACTATCACCCACTCATTCACCACAGTGGGATCCTGTTCACTGTCACTCATTCATTCATCACAGTGGGAACCTGTTCACTGTCACCCACGCATTCATTACATGAGGAACCTGTTCATTGCCACCCACTCATTTATCACAGTGGGAACCTCTTAACTATAAAACACACATTCACCACAGTGGGAGCCTCTTCACTGTCACCCACTCATTCTTCATATTGAGAACCTGTTCACTATCACCCATTCATTAATTACAGGAGAAACCTGTTCACTGTCACCCACTTATTCATCACTGTGAGAACCTGTTTACTGTCACCCAGTCACTCACCAAAGTGGGAAAGTGTTCACTATCACCCACCCATTCATCATGGTGGAAACTTGTTCACTGTCGCCCACTCATTCACCACAGTGGTTACATGTTCACTGTCACCCACTCATTCATCAAAGTGGGAACCTCTTTACAGTCAGCCACTCATTCACAACAGTGGGAACCTGTTGCCTGTCAGCCACTCATTCATTACAGTGGGAACCTATTCACTGTCACCGAGTTATTCATTACAAAAAAACCCTGATCACTGTCACCCACTCGTTCACCACAGTAGAAACCTATTCACTGTCAACCACTGTCACTCCAGTGGAAACCTGTTCACTGTCTGCCACTTGTTCACCACATTGAGAACCAGTTCACTGTCAATAACTCACTCACCACTGTGGGAATCTCTTTGTCACCCACTCATTCAACACAGTTGGAACCTGTTCACTGTCACCCTCTCATCCATTACAGGGGAAAACTGTTTACTGTAACTCCCTCATTCATCACAGTGAGAACATGTTCACTGTCACCCAGTCACTCACCACAGTGGCAACCTATTCACTGACACCCACTCACTCATCATCATGGGAACCTGTTCACTCTCACCCACTCATTCACTACGGTTGGAACATGCTCATTCTCACCACCTCATGCATCACAGTGGGAACCTGTTCACTGTCAGGCACTCTTTTACCACAGTGGGTACCTGTTCACTGTTACCCACTCACTCTTCACAGTGGGAACCTGTTCACTGTCACCAACTTATTCATTACAGTAAGAACCTTATCACTGTCAACGACATATTCACCACTGTAGGAACCTGTTCACTCTCATCAATTCATTCACCACAATGTGAACGTTTTCCCTGTCAGCCAACCATTCCCCAGAGTGGGAAGCTGTTCACTGTCACCCACTCATTCATCACAGTGTGTACCCATTAACTATAAGCCATTCATGCATCCTGATGGGAACTTCTTCACTGTCACCCACACACTCATTACAACCTGATCAATGTCAACCATTCACTCACCAAAGTGGGTACTAGTTCATTCTCAACCACTAATTCATCACAGTGTGAACCTGTTCATTGTCACCCAATCATTCATTACAGGAGGAACCTGTTCACTGTCACCCACAAAGTCATTAGATTGGGAACCTGTTCACTGTCACACACTCATCCATCACAGTGGAAACCTGTTCACTGTCAAGCACTCATTCACTACTGTGGGAACCTCTTCATTGTCAACGACTCACTCAAAACTGTTGGAACCTGTTCACCGTCACCCATTCTCTCATTACAGTGGGAACCTGCTCACTGTCGTCCTCTCATTCATCACAGTAAGAACCTGTTCACTGTAAACCACATACTCACAACTGTGGGAACCTCTTCACTCTAAATCACTCATTCACCACAGTGAGAACAAGTTCTACATCAGCCACTTATTCACCATATTGGGAACCTGGTCACTGTCACCACTAATTCATCACAGTCAGAACCCGTTCACTATAAGCCACTCATTCATCACAGTGGGAACCTGTTCACTGTCATCCACTCACTCATCACTTTGGGAACATATTCACTGTCAGTCAAACATTCTCCACAGCAGGAAACCGTTCACTGTCATGCACTGTTTCATTACAGTTAGAACCTGTTCATTCTCACCCACTTACTCATCAGGATGGGAACTTTCACTGTCCACCTTTCACTCACCACAGTGGGAACATGTTCACTCTCACTTACACATTCACCATAGTGGGAACCTGTTCAGTGTCAGGCACTCATTAATCACAGTGGGATCCTCTTCACTGTCAGCTATTCACTCAACACATTGGGAACCTATTCACTGTCACCCATTCATCACAGTGGAAACCTGTTCACTGTCAGCCAGTCATTCACCACAGGGACAACATGTCCACTTTCAGCCACACATTCACCACAGTGCGAACCTGTTCACTATCACCCACTCTTTCATTACCGTGCAAACCTGTTCGTTGTCACCCAATCATTCATTGTGGGAAGAACCTGTTCACTGTCACCCACAAGGTCATTAGAGTGGGAACATGTTCACTGTCACACACTCATTCATCATAGTGGAAACCCGTTCACTGTCAAGCACTCATTCACTACTGTGGGAACCTGTTCACTGTCACCCACTCACTCAAAACTGTCAGAACCTGTTCACTGTCACCCACTGTCTCATTACAGTGGGAACCTGCTCACTGTCACCCTCTCCTTCATCATAGTAAGAACCTGTTCACTGTAAACCACACACTCACAACTGTGGGAACCTATTCACTCTAAACCACTCATTCTCCACAGTGAGAACCAGTTCTATGTCAGCCACTCATTCACCACAGAGGAAACCTGCTCACTGTCACCCACTCATTCATCACAGTCAGAACCCGTTCACTATAAGCCACTCATTCATCACAGTCGGAACCTCTTCACTGTCACCCACTCACTCATTACAGTGGGAACCTGTTCCCTGTTGACCACTCATTCACCACAGTGGGAACCTGTTCATTCACACCCACTCAATCATCACAGTGGGAACCTCTTGGCTGTCAAGCACTCACTAACCACAGTGAGAATCTGTTCATACTCACCCACTCACTTACCACTGTTAAAATCTGTTCACTGCCACCCATTCCTTCTCTCAGTGAGAACCTGTTCACTGTCACCCACTCACTCATTAGAGTGGGAACCTGTTCACTGTCACCCACTTATACATCAAAATTGTAACCTGTTCGCTGTCACCCACTCACTGATCAAATCAAGAATGTGTCAAAAGTCACCCAGTCACTCATCACAGTTTGAATCTTTTCGCTGTCACTCACTGACTCATCACAATGCAAACGGATTCACTGCCACCACTCATTCATCACAGTGGGAAGCTGCACATTGTCACTCAATAATTTATCACAGTTGGAACCTGTTCACTGTCACCCCACTCATTCATCACACTGCAGCCTATTTATTGTCACCCACTCACTCCTCATAATGGGAACCTGTTCACTGTCACCCACTCACACACCATAGTGGGAACCTGCTCACTGTCAGCCACTCATTCTCCACAGTGGGAACGTGTCCACTCCCACCCACTCATTCACGACAGTGGGGAATCTATTGATTGTCTCCCACCCATTCATCACAGTGGTAATCTGTTCGCTGTCACACACACATTCATCAAAGTGGGAACCTGTTCACTGTCATCCATTCACTTATGACAGTGAGAAACTTCACTGTTAGCCACTCATTCACCACAGTGGGAACATTTTGTCTCTCACCCAAACATTCACCACAGTGGCAACCCGTTTACTATCACCCACTAAATCTTTATGGTGGGAACCTGTTCACTGTCACACACTCATTCATTACAGGAGGAACGTGTTTACTGTCACCTACTCATTAATCACAGTGATTAATCACATTAAACCTGTTTAATGTCAGCCACTCACTTCCCACAGTGGAAACCCGTTCACTTTCAGCCACTCACTCCCAATAGTGGAAATTTGTTCACTGTCACCCACTCATTCACCTCTGTAGAAACCTGTTCACTGTCTCCCAATTATTCGCCAAAGTGGGAACCAGTTCACGGTCACCCACTCATAAATCACACTGGGAAACTGTTCACTGTCGCCCACTCATTCATCACTGTGGTAACCTATTCATTGTGAGCCACTCGTTTATCACAGTGGGAGCCATTTTACTCTCACCCACTCATCGAGAGCAGTGGGAAGTAGTTCATTGTCATTCACTCGTTCACTGCACGAGAAACCTGTGCACTGTAAGCCACTCAGTCACCACAAAGAGAACCTGTTTAATTTCTGCCACTCATCCACCACAGTGAGAATCACTGTCATTCACTCATTCACCACAGTGAGAACCTGTTCACTGTCACCCACACATTCATCACAGTGGGAACCTGTTCACTGTCACCCACTCACTCATCGCAGTGAGAACCTATTCATTATCAGACACACATTCAACACAGTGGGAATCTTTTCACTCTCACTCACTCATTCACCAAAGTGGGACCCTGTTCACTATCTCCCACTTATTCATTAATGGAGGAACCTCTTTACTGTCAGCAAGTTATTCATTACAGTGGGAACCTGTTCACTGTCACTCACTCGTTAACCGCAGTAAAAACCTATTCACTGTCAGCCATACGTTGACCAAAATGGGAACCTGTTTAGCGTCACCCACTTATTCATCACAGTTGGGACCTATTCACTGTCGCCCACACATTCACCACAGAATGAACCTGTTCACTTTCAAACACTCATTCCCCACAGTGGTAATCAGTTCTCTCTCACCTACTCATTCACCACAGTGGGAACCATTTCACCTTCACCCTCTCGCTCACCACAGTATAAACCTGTTCACTGTCAGCCACTCAGCCACTACGATTGGAACCTGTTTACTCTCAGGCACTCATTCACCACAGTGGGAACCATTCACTGTCACCCACTCATTCATCACAGTGGGAACCTCTTCACTGTCACACAGTCATTTATTACAGAGGGAACCTGTTCACCTTCATGGACTCATTCATTACAGAAGGAAAGTGTTCACTGTCTCCCACTCATTCATTACAGTGGAAACCTGATCACTGTCACCCACTCACTCACCTCTGTGCTAACCTGTCACTGTCAGTCTGTCACTCATCACAGTGGAAATCTGTTCACTCTCACCCACTCATTCACCACATTGGGAACCTGTTCACCTTAACCAGTCACTCATCACACTGGGAAGCTCTTCACTGTCACACATTCATTCTTCACATTGGGAACCAGTTCACTTTCACCCACTCATTCACCACAGTGTGAACGTCTTCACTGTAACCCACTCATTCATCAGAGTGGGAACCATTTCACAGTCACTCACACATTCATTACAAAAGGAAACTGTTTGATCTCACGCACTCACTCATCAAAGTGGGAACCTGTTCACTGTCACCCACTTACTCACTAGAGTGTGAACCTGTTCACTGTCAGCCACTCATTCATCACAGTGGCAGCCTACTCACTGTCAGCCACTCACTCACCACAGTGGGAACCAGTTCACTGTAACCCACTCGTTAACCGCAGTAAAACCCTGTTTACTGTCAGCCACTCAGGCACCATACTGGGAACCTGTTTGCTGTGAGCCACTCATCCACCACAGTGGGAAGCAGTTCACTGTCACCCACTCTTTCATCTCTGTTAGAACATGTTCACTGTCAACCACTCATACCTCACAGTGAAAACCTGTTCACTGTCACCCACGCACTCACCACAGTAAAAACCTGTTCACTGTCACCATCTCATTCACCACAATGAAAACCTGTTCAATGTCAGCCACACATTCACTACAGTGGGTACCTGTTCACTGTCAGCCCCTCACTCATCACAATGGGAACCAGCTAACTGTCACAAACTCATTCATCACAGTGGGAAACTGTTCACTATCAGCCACTCATTCACCACAAGGGGAACCTGTTCGGTTTCAGCCACTCATTCACCACTGTGGGATCCTGTTCACTGTTACCCATTCATTCATCACAGTGCAAACTTTTTCACTGTTTCCCACTCATTAATTACAAGAGGAAGCTTTTCACTGTCACCCACTCATTCATCACCATGGAAACCCGTTCACTGTCACCCACTTATTCATCACAGTGAGAACCTGTTCACTCGCCCACTTGTTCACCACATTGGGAAGCTGTTCTCAGTCAGCCACCCACTCACCACAGTGGGAACCTGTTCACTGTCACCTACTCACTCATCACAGTGGGAAAATATTCATTGTTGCCCACTCACTCATCAGCTTGGGAACCTGCTCACTGTCAGCCACCCAATAACCACAGTGGGAACCTCTTCACTCTCACCCACTCATTCAGCACAGTGGGAAACTTCTGACTGTCACCCACTCTTTCATCTCTGTTAGAACATGTTCACTTTCACCCACTCATTCCTCACAGTGAAAACCTGTTCACTGTCACCCACTCACTCACCACAGTAAAAACCTTTTCACTGTCACCATCTCATTCACCACAATGAAAACCTGTTCAATGTCAGCCACACATTCATCACAGTGGGTACCTGTTCACTGTCAGCCCCTCACTCATCACAATGGGAACCAGTTAATGGTCACAAACTCATTCATCACAGTGGGAAACTGTTCACTATCAGCCACTCGTTCACCACAAGGGGAACCTGTTTACTTTCAGCCACTCATTCACCACGGTGGGACGCTGTTCTCTGTTACCCACTCATTCATCACAGTGCAAACTTGTTCACAGTCTCCCACTCATTAATTACAAGAGGAAACTTTTCACTGTCACCCACTCATTCATCACCATGGAAACCTGTTCACTGTCACCCACTTATTCATCACAGTGAGAACCTGTTCACTCGCCCACTTGTTCACCACATTGGGAAGCTGTTCTCAGTCAGCCACCCACTCACCACAGTGGGAACCTGTTCACTGTCACCTACTCACTCATCACAGTGGGAAAATATTCATTGTCACCCACTCACTCACCAGCGTGGGAACCTGTTCACTGTCAGCCACCCAATAACCACAGTGGGAACCTATTCACTCTCACCCACTCACTAACCACAGTGGGAATGGGTTTAATGTCAGCCACTCATTCACCACAGTGGGAACCTATTCACTCTCACCCACACATTCAACACATTGGGAACCTGTTGACTGTCACCCACCCATTCATCTCAGTGGGATCCTGTTAATGGTTACCTACACATTTATCACAGTGGGAACCTATTCACTCTCACCCACACACTCATCACAGTGAGATACTTTTCATGGTCAATCACTCTTTCACCACAGTGGGAACCTGTTCACTCTCACCCACTCATACATGACAATGGTAACTTGTTAACTGTCACCCACTAACTTATCACAGTTGGAAAGTTTTAACTGTCACCCATTCACTCATCACAGTGGGTACCTGTTCACTGTCACCCACTCACTCATCACAGTGGGAACCTCTTTACTGTGAGCTACTCATTCCTCACAGTGGGAACCTGTTCACTGTCACCCACTCATTCACCACTGTGGGAAACACTTCACTGTCACACACTCATTCATCAGAGTGGGAACCCTGTTCACAGTCACTCACACATTCATAACAAAAGGCAACTGTTCCCTCTCATGCAATCACTCATCACAGTGGAAGCCTGTTCTTTGTCACCCACTTATTCACCAGAGTGGGAACCTGTTCACTGTCAGCCACTCATTCATCACAGTGGAAACCTATTCACTGTCAGCCACTCATTCACCACAGTGGGAACCTGTTAACTCTCCCCCACTCACTCATCACAGTGGGAACCTGTTTATGGTCACCAACACATACATCACAGTAAGACCCTTTTCAGTGTCAACCACACATTCACCACTGTGGAATCCTGTTCACTCTCACCCACTCATTCATTACAACGAGACCCTTTTCCCTGGCAGCCACTCATTTCCCACAGTTGGAACCTGTTCACTGTCACCCATTCATTCATCACAGTGGAAACCCGTTAACTATAAGCAACTCATTCATCACAGTGGGAACCTCTTCACTTTCACCCACACACTCAGTACAATGGGAACCAGATCAATGTCACCCACTCACTCACCACAGTGGGAACTTCTTCATTCTCAACCACTCATTCATCACAGTGAGAACCTGTTCACTGTCACCCACTCATTCATCACAGTGGAAACGTGTTCACTGTCATCCACACACTAATTACAATGGAAACCTGTTCTCTGTTACCCACTCATGCATCACAGTGATACATTTTCTCTGTCACCAACTCACTCATAACATTGGGAACATGTTCACTCTCAGTCACTCATTCTCCTCAGTGGGAAGCAGTTCACTGTCACGCACTGATTTATCACAGTGAGAACCTGTTCACTGTCAGCCACTCATTCACCACAGTGTGAACCTGTTCACTGTCACTTACTCATCCACCACAGTGGGAACCTGTTCATTGCCCACTGGTTCATTACAGAAGAAACCTGTTTACTCTAACCCACTCATTCACCACACTGAGAACCTGTTCCATGTCAGCCACTTATTTACTACAGTGGCAACCTGTTCACTGTCAACATTCATCAGAGTAGAAATCCGTTCACTATAAGCCACTCATTTATCACAATGGGAACCTCTTCACTGTCACCCACTCACTCATTATAATGGGAACCTGTTCACTATTAACCACTTGTTCACTGTCACCCATACATTCTCAAAGTGGGGACCTGTTCACTGTCAGCCACTCACTCATTAGAGTGGGAACCCTTTCACTGTCTTCCACTCATTCATAACAATTGTAACCTCTTAACTGTCCAGCACTCACTCATCACATCAGGAACCTGTTGAAAGTCACCCACTCACTCATCACAATGGGAATCTGTTCAATATCACCCACTTACTCATCACAGTGGGAATGTGTTCACTGTCAGCAACTCATTCATCCCAGTGAGAAGCTGCTCACTGTCACCCACTCTTTTATCATAGTGGGGACCTGTTCACTGTCACCCACTCATTCATCACACTGGGAATCTATATATTGTCACCCATTCTCTCATCATAATGGGAACCTTTTCACTGTCATACACTCACACACCATAGTGGGAACCTGTTCACTGTCAGTCATTCCTTCACCACAGTAGGAGCCTTTTCCCCCTCACCCTCTCTTTCACCACAGTGGGAATCTGTTGATTGTCACCTAATCATTCATCACAGTGGGAACCTGTTCACTGTCACCCACATTTTCATCACAGTGGGAACCTGTTAACTTTCACCAACTCATTCATCACAGTGGGAACCCATTCACTGTCAGCCATACATTCACCACAGTGGGAACATTTTCACTCTCACCAAAACATTTTCCACAGTGTAAACATGTTCACTGTCACCCACTGAACCATCATGGTGAGAACCTGTTCACTGTCACACACTCATTCATTACAGGAGGAACGTCTTTACTGTCACCAACTCATTCATCATGGTGGGAACCTGTTCAATGTCAGCCACTCATTCACCACAGTGGGAACCTGTTGACTGTCAGGCACTCATTTCCCACATTGGGAACCTGTTCACTGTCATCCACTCGTTCACCATAGTAGAAACCTGTTCACTATCACCAACTTACTCACCAAAGTGGGAACATGTTCACTGTCACCCACTAATTTATCAAAGTGGGAAACTGTTCACTGTCGACCACACATTCACCACAGTGGTAACCTGTTCACTGTCAGACATTCATTCATCAGAATGGGAACCATTTCACTGTCACCCACTCATTCACCACAGTGGGAAGTAATTTACTGTCAACCACTCGTTCACCGCAGTAGAAACCTGTTCACTGTAAGCCACTCAGTCACCACAGTGGGAACCTGTTTACAGTCAGCCACTCATTCACCACAGTGGGAACCAGTTTACTGTCATTCACTCCTTCACTACAGTGGAAATCTGTTTACTGTCACCCACACATTTATCATAGTGGGAATCTGTTCACTGTCACTCACTCATCACAGTGAGAACCTGTTCATGGTCAGCCATTCATTCACCACATTAGGAATCTTTTCACTCTCACCCACTCATTCACCACAATGGGAAACTGCTCACTGTCTCCCACTTATTCATTACTGGACGAACCTCTTTACTCTCAGTAACTTATTCATCACAGTAGGAACCTGTTCACTGTCAGCCACCCATTAACCACAGTGAGAAGCTGTTCACTGTCAGCCACTGACACATCACAGTGGCAACCTGTTCACTGTCACCCACACAGTCACCACAGTGAAAACCTGTTCATTGCCACCAACTCAATTGCCACCGTGGAACCTGTTCACTCTCACCCACTCATACATCACAGCGGTAACTTGTTAGCTGTCACCCACTCACTCATCACAGTAGATACCTATTCACTGTCACTCACTTACTCATCACAGTGGGAACCTGTTCACTGTCAGCTGCTCATTCTTCACATTGGGAACCTGTTCACAGTAAACCCCTCATTCATCACCATGGGAACCTGTTCACTGTCACCCACTCATGCATCACACTGGGATCCTATTAATTTTCACCCACTCACTCATCACACTGGGAACCTGTTCACTGTCACTCACTCAATCCCCAGAGTGGGAACCTGTTGACTGTCAGCCACTCACTCACCACAGTGAAAACCTGTTTATTCTCACCCACTCATTCACCACAGTGGAAACAATTTAACTGTTACCCACTCCTGCATCACAATGGGAACCTGTCACTGTCACTCACTCATTCATCACAGTGGGAACCTGTCACTCTCAAAAACTCAGTAATCACAGTGGGAACCTGTTCACTGACAGCCACTCATTCACCATTCACCACGATGGGAAGCTGTTCACTCTCACCCATTCTTTCACCACTGTGGAAAGCTTTTCTTTTTTATTTTTTTATTATTATTATTATTATACTTTAAGTTTTAGGGTACATGTGCACAATGTGCAGGTTAGTTAAATATGTATACATGTGCCATGCTGGTGTGCCGCACCCATTAACTCGTCATTTAGCATTAGGCATATCTCCTAATGCTATCCCTCCCCCCACTCCCACCCCACAACAGTCCCCAGAGTGTGAAGTTCCCCTTCCTGTGTCCATGTGTTCTCATAGTTCAATTCCCACCTATGAGTGAGAACATGCAGTGTTTGGTTTTTTGTCCTTGCGATAGTGTGCTGAGAATGATGATTTCCAATTTCATCCATGTCCCTACAAAGGACATGAACTCATCATTTTTTATGGCTGCATAGTATTCCATGGTGTATATGTGCCACATTTTCTTAATCCAGTCTATCATTGTTGGACATTTGGCTTGGTTCCAAGTCTTTGCTATTGTGAATAGTGCTGCAATAAACATATGTGTGCATGTGTCTTTATAGCAGCATGATTTATAGTCCTTTAGGTATATACCCAGTAATGGGATGGCTGGGTCAAATGGTATTTCTAGTTCTAGATCCCTGAGGAATTGCCACACTGACTTCCACAATGGTTGAACTAGTTTACAGTCCCACCAACAGTGTAAAAGTGTTCCTATTTCTCCACATCCTCTCCAGCACCTGTTGTTTCATGACTTTTTAATGATTGCCATTCTAACTGGTGTGAGATGGTATCTCATTGTGGTTTTGATTTGCATTTCTCTGATGGCCAGTGATGGTGAGCATTTTTTCATGTGTTTTTTGGCTGCATAAATGTCTTCTTTTGAGAAGTGTCTGCTCATGTCCTTCACCCACTATTTGATGGGGTTGTTAGTTTTTTCTTGTAAATTTGTTTGAGTTCATTGTAGATTCTGGATATTAGCCCTTTGTCAGATGAGTAGGTTGCGAAAATTTTCTCCCATTTTGTAGGTTGCCTGTTCACTCTGATGGTAGTTTCTTTTGCTGTGCAGAAGCTCTTTAGTTTAATTAGATCCCATTTGTCAATTTTGGCTTCTGTTGCCATTACTTTTGGTGTTTGAGACATGAGGTCCTCGCCCATGCCTATGACCTGAGTGGTAATGCCTAGGTTTTCTTCTAGGGTTTTTATGGTTTTAGGTCTAAAGTTTAAGTCTTTAATCCATCTTGAATTGATTTTTGTATAAGGTGTAAGGAAGGGATCCAGTTTCAGCTTTCTACATATGGCTAGCCAGTTTTCCCAGCACCATTTATTAAATAGGGAATCCTTTCCCCATTGCTTGTTTTTGTCAGGTTTGTCAAAGATCAGATAGTTGTAGATATGGGGCATTATTTCTGAGGGCTCTGTTCTGTTCCATTGATCTATATCTCTGTTTTGGTACCAGTACCATGCTGTTTTGGTTACTGTAGCCTTGTAGTATAGTTTGAAGTCAGGTAGCATGATGCCTCCAGCTTTGTTCTTTTGACTTAGGATTGACTTGGTGATGCGGGCTCTTTTTTGGTTCCATATGAACTTTAAAGTAGTTTTTTCCAATTCTGTGAAGAAAGTCATTGGTAGCTTGATGGGGATGGCATTGAATCTATAAATTACCTTGGGCAGTATGGCCATTTTCACAATATTGATTCTTCCTACCCATGAGCATGGAATGTTCTTCCATTTCTTTGTATCCTCTTTTATTTCATTGAGCAGTGGTTTGTAGTACTCCTTGAAGAGGTCCTTCACATCCCTTGTAAGTTGGATTCCTAGGTATTTTATTCTCTTTGAAGTAATTGTGAATGGGGGTTCGCTCATGATTTGGCTCTCTGTTTGTCTGTTATTGGTGTATAAGTGTGCTTGTGATTTTTGTACATTGATTTTGCATGCTGAGACTTTGCTGAAGTTGTTTATCAGCTTAAGGAGATTTTGGGCTGAGACAATGGGGTTTTCTAGATATACAATCATGTCGTCTGCAAACAGGGACAATTTGACTTCCTCTTTTCCTAATTGAATACACTTTATTTCCTTCTCCTGCCTAATTACCCTGGCCAGAACTTCCAACACTATGTTGAATAGGAGTGGTGAGAGAGGGCATCCCTGTCTTGTGCCAGTTTTCAAAGGGAATGCTTCCAGTTTTTGCCCATTCAGTATGATATTGGCTGTGGCTTTGTCATAGATAGGTCTTATTATTTTGAGATACGTCCCATCAATACCTAATTTATTGAGAGTTTTTAGCATGAAGTGTTGTTGAATTTTGTCAAAAGCCTTTTCTGCATCTATTGAGATAATCATGTGGTTTTTGTCTTTGGTTCTGTTTATATGCTGGATTACATTTATTGATTTGTGTATATTGAACCAGCCTTGCATCCCAGGGATGAAGCCCACTTGATCATGGTGGATAAGCTTTTTGATGTGCTGCTGGATTCGGTTTGCCAGTATTTTATTGAGGATTTTTGCATCAATGTTCATCAAGGATATTGGTCTAAAATTCTCTCTTTTGGTTGTGTCTCTGCCCGGCTTTGGTATCAGGATGATGCTGGCCTCATAAAATGAGTTAGGGAGGATTCCCTCTTTTTCTATTGATTGGAATAGTTTCGGAAGGAATGGTAACAGTTCCTCCTTGTATCTCTGGTAGAATTCGGCTGTGAATCCATCTGGTCCTGGACTCTTTTTGGATGGTAAGCTATTGGTTATTGCCACAATTTCAGAGCCTGTTATTGGTCTATTCAGAGACTCAACTTCTTCCTGGTTTAGTCTTGGGAGGTTGTATGTGTCGAGGAATTTATCCATTTCTTCTAGATTTTCTAGTTTATTTGCGTAGAGGTGTTTGTAGTATTCTCTGATGGTAGTTTGTATTTCTGTGGGATCGGTGGTGATATCCCCTTTATCATTTTTTATTGAAAATGATCATTTTTATTGAAAATGATAAAGGAGATATTAACCTGTTAACTTTCAGCCACTCTGTTATCACAGTGGGAACCTCTCCACTGTCACCTAATAATTCATCACAGTGGGAACCTCTTCACTGTGAGCCACTTATTCCCTGTTGTGGGAACCTGTTCACTCTCAATCTCTAATTCACCACAGTGAGAATCTGCTCACTGTCAGCCACTCAGTCATCACAGTGGGAACCAGTTCACTGTCACCTACTCGTTCACCGCAGTAGAAACTTGTTTACTGTCACTGATACACGCATCACAGTGGAAACCTGTTTACTGTCAGCCACTCATTCACCACAGTGGGAACCAGTTCGCTGCCACCCATTCCTTCATGAAAACGAGAACCTGTTCACTGTCACCCACTCATTCCTCACAGTTGGATCCTGTCACCATCATTCACTCACTCACCACAGTGGGAACCTGTTCACTGTCACCCACTCATTCACCAGAGTCTTAATCTGTTAACTTTCATCCACTCTGTTATCACAGTGGGAACCTGTCCCCTGTCACCTAATCACTCATCAGAGTGGGAACCTCTTCACTGTGAGCCACTTACTCCCTGTTGTGGGAACCTGTTCACTCTCAATCTCTAATTCACCACAGTGAGAATCTGTTCCCTGTCAGCCACTCGTTCATCACACTGGAACCAGTTCACTGTCACCTACTCATTCACCGCAATAGAAACTTGTTTCCTGTCACCAAAACACGCATCACAGTGGAAACCTGTTCCCTGTCCACCACTCATCCATCAGAGTGGGTACTTGTTCACTGTCACCCACTCGTTCATTACAGGGGAAACTTGGTCTTTGTCACCCACTCTTTTACCACAGTAGAATCCTTTTCACTGCCACCCACTCATTCAACACAGTGGGAACCTGTTCACTGTCAGCCGCTCATTCATCACATTGGTAACCTGTTCACTGTCAGCGACTCCATCACCACATTGAGAACCTCTTTACTGTCATCCACTCACCATCATAGTGGGAACCTATTCACTTTCACACACTCATTCAGCAGAGTGGGAACCTGTTCAGTTTCACATACTCATTCACCACAGTGGGAAACTATTCACTGTCACCCACTCATTCATCATAGTGGGAACCTTTTCACTGTCACCCACTCATTCATCATAGTGGGAACTTTTCACTGTCACCCACTCATTCATTACAGGAGGATCCTGTACACTGTCATCCACTCATTCATCACAGTGGAAACCGGTTCACTGTCATTCATTCACTAATCACATTGCGAACCTGTTTACAGTCACCCACTCGCTCATCACAGAGGGAACTTGTTTTCTTTCTCACACTCATTCACCACAGTGGGAACCTTTTCACTGTCACCCACTAACTCAACACGGTGGAACCTGTTAACTTTCTCCCACTAATTAACCACAGTGGGAATCTCTACACTGTCACCCACTCACTCATCACAGTGGGAACCTGTTCACTGTCACCCCTCACTCATCACAATGGGAACTTCTTCACTTTCATCCACCCACTCATCACAGTAAGAGCCTGTGCACTGTCACCTACTCATTCATCACAGTGGGAACCTGTTCAGTGTCACCCACTCACTCATCACTGTGGGAACGTTTTCACTGTCACTCACTCTTTCATCACACTGAGAACCTGTCCATTGTCAGCTACTCACTCAACACAGTGTGGACCTGTTGACTGTCATCAATTCACTCACCACGATGAAAATCAGCTCACTGTCAGCCACGCATTCACCACAGTACAAACCTCTTCACTCTCTCCCACTCATTCACCACAATGGGAACCTGCTGACTTTCACACACTCATTCATCACAGTGGGAACCTGGTCACTGTCATGTGCTCATTTATCACAGTGGCATGCTGTTCACTGTCACATACTTACTCATCACAGTGAGAATCTATTAACTATTAGCCACACAATCACCGCAATGGGAACCTGTTCACTTTCACCTACTCATTCGCCACAGTGGGAACATGTTTACTGTCACTCACTCATTCATCTCAGTGGGCAGTGGTTCACTGTCACCCACTCATTCATTACAGGGGTAACTTGTTCACTGTCACCCACTCATTCACCACAGTGGGAACCTATTCACTACCAGCCTCTCATTCACCACAATGCAAACCTGTTAACAATCAGCCACTCACTCACCACAGTGGCAACATTTTCACTGTCACCCACTCGTTTGCTGTAGTAGAAAGCTGTTCACTGTCAGCCACACATACAACACAGAGGGAACCTTTTCACTGTCAGTCATGCATTCATCACAGTAACAACCTGCACACTGTTGCCCTCTCATTCACCACATTGAGAACCTGTTCATTTTTTAGCCACTCATTCATTGCAGCGGGAACCTGTTCACTCACCAACTTTTTCTCCGCAGTTGGAAGGAATTCACCATCACCCACTCATTCACACACTCTTCCACCCCAGTAGAAAGCTGTTCACTGTCAGCCACTCAGTCATCACAATGGGAACCTGTTTACTATCAGCCACTTGTTCACCACAGTGGGAACCAGTTCACTGTTCACACACTCATTCATCACAGCGAGAACCTGTTCAATGTCACCCCACTCATTCATCACAGTAAGAACCTGTTCACTGTCACCAACTCACTCACCATGATAGGAACCAGTTTACTGTCACCCATTCATTTACCAGAGTGGAAACCTGTTCCTTGCCAGCCACTCAGTCATCACACTGGGAAACTGTTCTCACCCACTCACTTGTCACAGTGGGAAACTCTTCACTGTGAGCCACTCAATCACTACTGTGAAAAACCTGTTCACTCTGAGTCACTCGTTCAACACAGTGAGAAGCTATTCACTGTCAGCCACATATTCAACAAGTAAGAACCTGTCCACTGTCAGCCATTCATTCACAACAGTGGGAAAGTGTTCACTATCACCCATTCAGTCATCACAGTGGGAACATTTTCACTGTCAAAAACTCATTCATTTCACTGGGAACCTGTTCACTGGGAACCTGTTCACTGTCACCCACTCATTCACCATAGTGGTTACCTGTTCACTGTCTCCAACTCACTCATCCCAGTGGGAACCTGTTCCCTCTCACCCACTCATTTGCCACAGTGGGAACCTGTTCACTGTCACCCACTCATTTATCACAGAGGGAACATCTTCACTGTCACCCATTCATTACAAAAGGAACCTGTTCACTGTCACCCACTCATTCATCATAGTGAGAACTTGTTCACTGTCAGTTGCTCATTCACCACAGTGGGAACCAGTTAACTGTCAAGCACTCATTCACCACAGTAGATACATGTTCACTGTCACCCACTCACACATCACAGTGGTATCCTGTTCACTGTCAGCCACTCACTCATCACAGAGGGTGCCAGATCACTGTCACCCACTCATTCATTACAGGAGGAACCTAATCACTGTCACCCACTCGTTCACCACAGTAGAAACCTGTTCACTGTCAACCATTCATTCACCAGAGTGGGAACCTGTTCACTGTCAGCCACTCATTCACCACAGTGGAAACAGTTCACTGTCACCCATTTGTTCACTGCAGTAGAAACCTGCACACTGTCAGCCACACAGTCACCACAGTGGTTACCTGTTTACTGTCAGCCATTCACTTATCACAGTGGGAACATGTTCACTGTCACCCAATCATTTATCAAACTGGGAACATGTTCACTGCCACCCTCTCATTCACCACAGTGGGAACCTCTTCACTGTCGCCCACTCACTCATTGCAGTGGGTACCTGTTTACTGTCACAAACCCATTCATTACAGGAGGAACCTGTTCACTGTCAACCACATATTCATCACAGTCAGATATTGTTCACTGTCAACCACTCACTCTCCACAGTGAGAACCTGTTCACTCTCAACCACTCATTCACCACAGTGGGAAACTGTCCACTGTCACACACTCATTCATCACAGTGGGAACATGTTCACTGTCATCCACTCATTCATTACAGGAGGTACCTTATCACTGTCACTCACTCTTTCACAACAGTAGAAACATGTTCACTGTCCTCCAATCACTCACCACAGTGTGAACCGGTTCACTGTCAGCCATTCGTTCACTACTGTGGGTACCTCTTCACTCTCACCCACCCATTTAGCACAGTGAGAACCTTTTCACTGTCAGCCACTCATTCACCACAGTGGGAACCTGTTCACTGTCACCCATTCACTCATCACATTGAAAATCTGTTCATTGTTACCCACTCACTGACCACAGGGGGACCGGTTCACTCTCACCCACTCATCACAGTGGGAACCCGTTTACTGTCACACACGCATTAATCACAGTGGGAACCCGTTTATTCTCACCCACTCACTTATCACAGTGTGTTCTTGTTCACTGTCAGCCACTCATTCACCACTGTGGGAAGCTGTTCCCTCTCACCAACTCACTCATCACAGTGGGTACCTGTTCACTGTCACCCACTCACTCAGCACAGTGGGAACATGTTCTCTCTCATGACCGCATTAACAATGGTGGGAACTTGTTCACTGTCACCCACACACTCATCACATTGGGAACCTGTTCACTGTCACCCACTCACTATTCACAGTGGGAACCTGTTCGGTGCCTTTCACTCATTCATCAGAATGGGAACCTCTTCACTTTCACCCACTCACTCATCACAGTAAGAACCTGTTCACTGTCACCCACTCATTCATCAGGGTAAGAACTTGTTCACTGTCACTCACTCATTCATCACAGTGAAAACCAGTTCACCCTTACCCACTCATTCCCTACAGTTGGAACCTGTTCACTCTCACCCACTAAATCATCAAAGTGGAAACCTTTTCACTGTCACCCACACATTCATCACAGTGCAAATATTTTCATTCTCACCCACTCATTACTATGGGCACCGCTTCACTGTCAGCCACACATTCACTACAGTGGGAACCTGTGCACTCTCGCCAACTCACCCACCACAGTGGGAACCTAATTACTGTCATCAACTAACTCAACACAGTGGGAAACTGTTCACTGTCACCCACTCATGCATAACAATGGAAACCTGTTCACTGTCAGCCACTTCTTCATCACAGTGGGAACATGTTCATTTACCACAGTGGGAAGTGGTTCAGTGTCACCCATTAGTTCACTGCAGTAGAAACCTGTTCGTTGTGACCAACTCACTTACCACAGTGAGAAGCTGTTTACTGTCGGACACTCAATTCACCACAGTGGGAACCAGTTCACTGTCACACTCTCATTCATCACAGTGAGAATATGTTCAGTGTCACCCACTCAATAACGACAGTGGGAAGCAGTTCACTGTCACCAACTCATTCACCACAGTGGGAACCTGTTCACTCTCAGTCCCTCACTCATCACAGTGTGAACCTGTTCACTGTCACCAACTCACTCATCACATTTGGAACTTGTTCACTGTGAGCCACTTATTCACTATGGTGGGAACTTGTTAACTTTCACCCACATATTCAGCACATTGAGAACCTGTTCTCTGTCAGAAACTCATCCGCAGCAGTGGGAAACTGTTCACTGTCACCCAATCCATCATCACACTAAGAATATGTTCACTGTAAGCCACTCATTCACTTCTGTGGGAACCTGTTCACTCTCACCCACTCACTCACCACAGTAGGAACTTGTTCACCCTCACCCACTCACTCATCACTGTGGGAACCTCTTCACTCTCACCCACACATTCGCCACAGTGGGAACTTGTTCACTGTCACCCACTTTTCAATACAGGAGGAACCTGTTCACTGTCACCAACTCATTCATCACAGTGGGAACCTGTTCACTGTCAGCCACTCATTGAGCACAGTGGGAACCTGTTCATTGTCACCCAGTCTTTCACAATACAAACGTGTTCACTGTCACACACTCACTCATCACAGAGGGTACCTGTTCATAGTCAGCCACTCATTCGTCACAGTCGGTAACTGTTCACTGTCACACTCTCATTCATTACAGGAGGAACCTGATTACTGTCAGTCATTCTACACAGTAGGAAACGGTTCACTGTCAGCCACTCATTCATCACAGTGTTAACTTCTTCACTGTCAGCCACTCATTCACCACAGTAGGAAGAAGTTCACTGTCACCCACTCTTTCAGCTCAATAGAAATTTGTTCACTGTCAGCCACTCAGTCACCAAAGTGTCAAGTTGTTTACTGTCAGCCTCTCACTCATCACTGTGTGAAACTCTTCACTGTCAACAACACATTCATCACAGTGGGAACCTGTTAACTGTCACCCACTCATTCACCACAGTGGGAATCTGTTCACTCTCACCAACTCATTCATCACAGTGGGTACCTATTCACTGTCACCAATTCACTTACCACAGTGGGATCCTGTTCTCTCTCACCCACTAATTCACCACAGTGGGAACCAGTTCACTGTCACCCACTCATTCCTCACAGTGGGAACCTGTTCACTGTCACTCACTCATTAATAATATAGTAAATAGTTCACTGTCACCAACTCATTCAAGGCAGTGGGAACCTGTTCACTGTCACCCACTCACTAATCACTGTGGAAACCTGTTAACTGTCACCCACTCACTCATCACAGTGGGAAACTATTCACTGTTTCCCACTCATTCATCACAATGGAAACCTGTTCACTGTCACCCACTCACTCATCACAATGGGAACCGGTTCACTGTCACCCACTCACTCATCAAAGTAAGAACCTGTGGCTGGGCACAGTGGCTCACGCCTGTAATCCCAGCACTTTGGGAGGCTTAGGCGGGCAGATCACGAGGTCAAGAGATCAAAACCATCCTGGCCAATATGGTGAAACCCTGTCTCTACCAAAAATACAAAAATTAGCCGGGCATGGTGGTGGATGCCTGTAATCCCAGCTACTCGGGAGGCTGAGGCAGGAGAATCACTTGAACCCAGGCAGCAGAGGTTGCGGTGAGCCGAGATCATGCCATTGCACTCCAGCCTGGGCAACAAGAGCGAAACTCCGTCTCAAAAAAAAAAAAAAAAAGTAAGAACCTGTTCACTGTCATCCACTCACTCATCAGAGAGGGAACCTGTTTGCCCTTACCCACTAATTCACCACCGTGGGAGCCTATTCACTCCCACCCACTCAGTCGTCATGGTGGAACTTGTTCACTGTCACCCACACATTCATCATAGTGGGAACTTGTTCACTCTCACCAACCCACTCATCACAATGGCTACTCCTTCACTGTCAGCCACTCATTTATCACAGTGGGAACCTGTGAACTCTCACCTACTCCCTCATCACAGTGGAACCTGATCACTGTCACAGACTAACTCACAACAGGTGGAACCTGTTCTCTCTCACCCACTTATTTACCACATTGGGAACCTGTTCACTGTCAGCCAGTCATTCATCACAGTGGGAACATGTTCACTGTCACCCACTCACTCATCACAGTGGGAACCTATTCACTGTCACCCACTCATTTATCACAGGGGGAACCAGTTCACTGCAACTCACTGACTCATTACAGTGGGAAACTGTTCACTGTCACCCACTCACTTATCACAGTGGAAACCTGCTCACCATCAGCCACTCTTTCATAACATTGGGTACCTGTTCACTGTCACCCACTCATTCACCACAGTGGGAAGCATTTCAATGCCACCCACTCGTTCACCGCAGTAGTAATCTGTTCACTGTCAGCCACTCAGTCATCAGAACCTGTTTACCGTCAGACACTCATTCTCAACAGTGGGTACAAGTTGACTGTCACCCTCTCATTCATCACAGTGAGAACCTATTTCCTGTCACCCACTCACCACAGTGGGAACCTGTTCACTGTCACCCATTCATTCACCACAGTGGGAACCTGTTCACTGTCAACCACTCACTCTTCAGAGTGGGAACCGGTTCACTGTCATTAACTCACTCATCACATTGAGAATCTGTCTACTGTGAGCCACTAATTCACTATGGTGAGACCCTGTTCACTCTCACCAACCCATTCAGCACTGTGAGAACCTGTTCACTGTCAGCAACTCATTCACAACAGTGGGAACCCGTTCAATGTCACCCAATCCATCATCACAGTAAGAACATGTTCATTATGAGACACTCATTCACTACTGTGGGTACAAGTTCACTGTCACCTTCTCATCACAGTGAGAACCTATTCACTGTCACCCACTCATTCACCACAGTGGGAACCTGTTCACTGTGAGCCACTCACTCTTCACAGTGGCAATGGGTTCACTGTCATTAACTCACTCATCACATTGGGAACCTGCTACTGTGAGCCACCTGTTCACTATGGTGCGAACCTGTTCACTCTCACCAGCCCATTCATCACAGTGAAAACCTGTTCACTGTCAACAATTCATTCACAACAGTGGGAACTTATTCCTTGTCACCCAATCCGTCATCACAGTAAGAACATGTTTATTGTGAAACACTCATTCACTACTGTGGGAACCTGTTCACTCTCACTCACTTGTTCACTGCAGTAGAAACCTATTCATGCTCACCCACTCACTCATCACTTTGGGAACCAGTTCACTCACCCACTCTTTCACCCCAGTGGGAACCTGTTCACTTTCACCCACTCATTCATCACAGTGAGTACTTATTCACTGTCACCCACCCTTATCACACGAGGAACATGTTCACTGTCACCCACACATTCAGAACATTGGGAATCTGTTCACTGCCAGCCACTCATTCACCACAGTGGGAACATGTTCACTGTCAACCTTTTATTTACCACAGTAGAAACCTGTTCACTGTCATCAACCCATTCATCACAATGGGAACCTGTTCACTGTCACCCACTCATTCACCACAGTGAGAACCTCTTCTCTGTCATCCACACATTCATCACACTGGGAACCTGTTCACTGTCACCCACTCATTCATTACGAAAGGAGCCTCTTCAGTTTCACCCACTCATTCTTCACAATGGGAACCTGTTCACCTTCACTGCCTTATTCACCATAGTGGGAACCTCTTCTCTGTCATCCACACATTCATTACAGTGGAAACCTGTTTATTGTCACCCACCCATTCATTACAAAAGAAACTTCTTCACTTTCACACACTCATTTTTCCCAATGGCAACCTGCTCACTGTCACTCACTCATTCACCACAGTGGGAACCTGTTCACTGTCAGCCACTCATTCATCACGGTGGTAACATATTCACTGTCAGTGAGTCATTCACCAAATTGGGAACCTGTTCACTGTCACCCACTCGTTCACTGCATTAGAAACCTGTTCACTGTCAGCCACTCATTTACCAACGTGTGAAACTGTTCACTGTCACCCGCTCACTCACCACAGTGGGAATCAGTTTACTGTCACCCACTCATTCACCACAGTGGGAACCTGTTCATTGTCAGCCTCTCACTCATCTCAGTAGGAACCTGTTCACTGTCACACACTCACTCATCACAGTGCGAACCTGTTTACTGTCAGCCACTCATGCACTACAGTGGGAACCTGTTCACTGTCACCCACTCAGTCATCACAGTGGGAACCTGTTCACTGTCTTTAACTCATTCATTACAGTGGGAAGCTGTTCACTGTCACTTACTCATTCACCACAGTAAGATTCTGTTCACTGTAACTCAGTCATCACAGTTGGAACCTGTTCACTGTCACAAACTCATTCATTCCTTTGGGAACCTGTTCACTGCTACCCACTCATTCACCAGAGTGGGAACCTGTTCACTGTCACCGATACATTCATTACATGAGGAACCTGTTTACTGTCACCCACTCATTCATCATAGAGGGAAACTGTTCACTGTCAATCACTCACTCACCACAGTGGGAACCTGTTCACTATCACCCACTCATTAATCACAGTGGAAACCTGTTCACTGTCAGCCACTCATTCGTTACAGTGGTTACCTATTCATTGTTAACCACTGGTTTACCGCAGTAGAAATCTGTTCACTGCCACACACTCATTCATCACAGTGGGAACCTGTTCACAGTCAGCCATTCTTTCTTCACACTCAGTACCTGATCCTTGTCACCCATGCATTCAATACAGGAGGAACCTGATTTCTATCACACATTCATTCAACACAGTAGAAACCTGTTCACTTTCCACATTCATTCACTGCAGTAGAAAACGGTTCACTGTCAGCCACTCATTCATCACAGTGAGAATGTCTTCTCTGCCATCCACACATTCATCATAGTGGGAACCTGTTCACTGTAAGGCACTCATGTACTAAAAAAAGGAACCTCTTCACTTTTACCCACTCATTCTTCACAATGGGAACCTGTTCACCTTCACCCGCTTATTCACCACAGTGGGAACCTCTTTGTTGTCAGCCTCTCACTCATCACAGTGGGAACCTGTTCACTGTCACCCACTCACTCATCACAGTGTGAACCTGTTTACTATCAGCCACTCATTCACCACAGTGGGAACATGTTCACTGTCACCCACTCATTCACTAAAGTGAAAAGTTTTCACTATCTCTCACTCATTCACCACAGTGGGATCCTTTTCACTGTAACCCACTCAGTCATCACAGTTGTAACCTGTTCACTGTCACAGACTCATTCATTCCTTTGGGAACCTGTTCACTGTCACCCACTCAGTTATGACAGTGGGGACCTGTTCACTGTCACCCACACATTCATTAAAGGAGGAACCTGTTCACTGTCCCCCACTCATTCATTACAGTTGGAACCTGTTCTTTACCACCCACACATTCATTACATGGGGTACCTGTTCACTGTCACCCACTCATTTCTCACAGTAAGAAACTGTTCACTGTCAGCCACTCATTCACCACCGCTAGAACAAGTTCACGGTCACCCACACTTTCACCACAGTGGGAAGCTGTTCAATGTCACACAGCCGTTCACAGCAGTAGAAACCTGTTCACTGTCAGCCACTCAGTCACCACAATGGGAACCTGTTTACTGTCAGACACTCACTCATCACAGTGGGAACCTGTTCACTGTCTACTCACTCATTCATCACATTGGGAACATGTTCACTCTCACCAACTCACTCATCACAGTGAGAACTTTATCACTGTCACCAACTAACTCACCACAGGGGAAGCCTGTTCTCTCTCACCTACTCATTCACCACAGCGGGAACCTGTTCACTGTCAGCCACTCATTTATCACAGTGGGAACATGTTCACTGTTGTCAACTCACTCATCATATTGGGAACCTGTTCACTGTGAGCCACTCATTCACTACGGTCACAACCTGTTCACTCTCACCCACCCATTCAGCACAGTGAGAACCTGTTCACTGTCAGCAACTGACTCACAATAGTGGGAACCTCTCCACTGTCACCCAATCCGTCATCACACTAAGAACATGTTCACTGTCAGCCATTCATTCACTAACGTGGGAACCTGTTCACTCTCACCCACCCATTCACCACGGTAGGAACCTGTTCACACTCAGCCACTCACTCATCACTGCAGGAACCTGTTCACTCTCACCCAATCATTCACCACAATGGGAACCTGTTCATTGCCACCTACTAACTCATTACAGTGGTATCCTGTTCACAGTCAGCCACTCATTCGTCACAGTCAGTACTTGTTAACTGTTACCCACTCATTCATTGAAGGAGGACCCTGATTACTGCCACCCATTCATCCAACACAGTAGAAACCTAGTCACTGTCCCCACACATTCACCACGGTGTTAACCTGTTCACTGCCAGCAACTCACTCACTACAGTGAGAACCTGTTCACTGTCACCGACTCACTCATCACAGTGGGAACCTGTTCAATGTCACCCAATCACTCATCACAGTGGGAACTTGTTCACTGTCGCCCACTCACTCATCCCTATGAGAATCTGTTCACTGTCACCCACTCATTCACCACAGTGGGAATCTGTTCACTCTCACCAACTCACTCATCACAGTGGGTACCTATTCACTTTCAGCAAACTCACTCATCACAGTGGAAACCTGTTCTCTCTCACCAACTCATTCACCACAGTGGCAACCTGTTCACTGTCACCCATTCATTCATCATAGTGGGAACCCGTTCACTGTCACGCTCTCACTCATCACTGTGGGAACATGTTTACTGTCACCCACTCATTCATCAATATGATAAACTCTTCACTGTCACCAACTCACTCATGACAGTAAGAACCAGTTCACTGTCACCCACTCTCTAATCACAGTAGAAATCTGTTCACTGTCACCCACTCACTCATCACAGTGGGAAACTGTTCACTGTTTTCCACTCGTTCATCACAATGGAAACCTGTTCACTGTCACCCACTCACTCATCACAACGGAAACCGGTTCATTGTCACCCACTTACTCATCACAGTAAGAACCTGTTCACTGTCACCCACTCATTCATCACAGTGAGAACCTGTTCACTGTCACCCACACATTCAGCACAGTGGGAATATGATCACTCTCACCCACTCACTCATCACAGTGGGTACCCCTTCACTGTCAGCCACTCATTAATCTCAGTGGGAACCTGTGAACTCTCACCGACTCACTCATCACAGAGGGAACCTGATCGCTTTCACAAACTAACTTACCACAGGGGAACCTGTCCTTTCTCACCCACTCATTCACCACATTGGGTACCTGTTCATGGTCAGCCACTCATTCATCACAATGGGAACATGTTCACTGTCACCCACTCACTCATCACAGTGGAAACCAGTTCACTGTCACCCACTGATTCATCACAGTGGGAACCTGTTCACTGTCACCCATTTTTCATCACACTGGGAACCTATACATTGTCTCCCAAACTCTCACTACAGTGGGAAACTTATCACTGTCATCCACTCACTCATCACAATGGGAACTTGTTCACTGTCAGCCACTCCTTCATCACGGTGGGAACCTGTTCACTGTCACCCACTTATTCATCACAGTTGGAAGCTGTACGTTGTCAGCCACTCATTCACCACTGTGGGAACCTGTTCAACCTCAACCATTCATTCACCACAGTGGAAACCTGTTCACTGTCAGCCACTCATTCATCACAGCAGGAACCTCTTCACTTTCACACACTCATTCATCACAGTTGGAACCTGTACACTGTCACCCACTCATTCACTACAGTGGGAGCCTCTTCACTGTCAATCACTCATTCATCACAGTGGGAACCTGTTCACTTTCACACACTCTAATCACAGCGAAACTATCACCCACTTATCCATCACTTTGGGAACTTGTTCACTGTCACCCACTTACTCATCACAGTGGTAACTGGTTGACTGTCATGCACTCACTTATTACAGTGGGAACCTGTTCACTGTCGCCCACTCACTCATCCCTATGGGAACCTGTTCACTGTGAATCACTCATTCATCACTGTGGGAACCTGTTCACTCTCACCCACTCAGTCACCTCAGTGAAAACCTGTACACTCTCAGCCACTCATTCACCACAGTGGGAACATCTTCACTGTCACCCACTCATTCATTACAATGGGAACCTGTTCAACGTCACACACTCATTCATTGCCAGAGAAACATTTTCACTGTCACCCACTCATTTATCACAGATGAAACCTGTTCACTTTCACTCACTCACTCACCACAATGAGAACCTGTTCACTTTCACCCACTCACTCATCACAGTGGGAACCTGCTCATTGTTACCCAGTCATTTATCACAATGGAAACCTGTTCACTCTCACCCACTCACTCATCACAGTGGGAACCTGTTCACTGTCACCAACTTATTCATCACAGTGGGAACTTGTTCACTCTCACCAACTCACTCATCAAAGTGGTTACCCTTTCAATGTTAGCCACTTATTCACCACAGTGGGAATCTGTTCACCCTCACCAACTCACTCATCACTGTGGGAACGTGTTCACTGTCACCCACTCACTCACCACAGTGGGAAGCTGTTCTCTCCCACCCACTCATTCACCACAGTGAGAACATGGTCACTGTCACCCACGCATTCATCACAGTTGGAACCTGTTCACTGTCACCCACTCAGTCACCACCATGGGAACCCGTTCACTGTCACTTAGTCATTTACCACATTGGAAAACTGTTCAGTGTCACCCACACATTCATCACAGTGGGAACAAGTTGACTGTCACCCACTCATTCATTAGAGTGAAAACTTGTTCACTGTCACCCACTCACTCACCACAGTGGGAACCTGTTCACTTTCATCCACTCATCACAGTGAAAACCTGTTCTCTTTCACCCACTCATTCACCACATTGGATAACTGTTCACTGTCACCCACTCATTCATTACAGGAGGAAACTGTTTACTGTTACCCACTAATTCACCAGAGTGGGAAGCTGTTCACTCTCACCCATTCTCTCTTCACAGTGGGAACCTGTTCACTGTCACCCACATATTCATCACAGTGGGAACCTGTTCACTCTCACTAACTCGCTCATCACAGTGGGTACCCATTCACTGTCAGCCACTTATTCACCATAGTGGGAATCTGTTCACCCTCACCACCACACTCTTTACAGTGGGAACATGTTCACTGTCACCCACTCACTAACCAAACTGGAAACTTGTTCTTTCACACCTACTCATTCACGACAGTGAGAACCTGTTCTCTGTCACCCATTCATTCATCACAGTGGGAACCTGTTCACTGTCACTCAGTCACCACAGTAAGAACTTGTTCACTGTCACCCACTCATCATAACAGGAGTAACCTGTACACTGTCACACATTCATTCATTAGAGTGAGAATGTGCTCAATGTCACCTGCTTAATCACCACAGTGGGAACCTGTTCTCTGTCACCCACTCACCCATTACAATGAAATACTGTTCACTCTCACCCACTCATTCGCCACAGTGGAAAACTGTGCACTGTCACCCACGCATTCTTCACAGTGGAAGACTGTTGACTGTCACCCACTCATTCATTACAGGAGGAAACGTTTCACTGTCACCCACACACTCATCATAATGGGACCCTGTTCACTGCCAGCCACTCTTTCACCACAGTGGGAACCTGTTCACTGTCACACAATCGTTCAACACAGTAAACACTTATTCACTGTCACTCACTCATTTATCATACAAGGAACGTGTTCACTGTCACCCAATCATTCATCAAAGTGGGAAACTGTTCACTGTCAGGCACTCATTCACCACAATGGGAACCTGTTCACTGTCAGCCACTCACTCACCACAGTTGGAACCTGTTCACTTTCACTGACTCACTCATCAGAGAGAGAACCTGTTCACTGTCAACCACTCATTCGCCACTGTGAGAACCTGTTCACTCTCACCCACTCATTCATTACAATGAGAACCTGTTCACTGCCACCCACTTATTCACCACAGTGGGAGCCCGTTCACTGTCACATACACATTCGTCACGGTGTAAACCTATTCACCATAACCAACTCATTCATCACAGTGGAAACCTGTTCACTGTCAACCACTCACTCATTACTGTGGGTACCTGTTCTTTGTCATTCACTTTTTCACCATAGTGGGAACCAGTTCACCCTCACCCACTCATTAAACACAGTGGGAACCTGTTCGCTGTCACCACTCATTGATCACAATGGGAACCTGTTGATTGTCAACCTCTCATTCATTACAAGGGGAACCTGTTCACCGTCACCACTCATTCATCAAACTGTGAAACTGTTCACTGTCAGACACCCATTCATTACAGTGGGAAACTGTTCACTGTCACCCACTTGTTCACTGCAGTAGAAATCTGTTCATTGTCTGCAACTTACTAAGCACAGTTGGAACTTGTTCACTCTCACTTTCTTATACATCACAGTGGGAACTTGTTCACTGTCACCAACTCATCAATCACAGTGGGAACCTGTTCTTTTTCAGCCACTCATTCATCACAGTGGGAACCTATTCACTGTCACCCCTCACTCACCAAAGTTGAAACCTGTTCACTGTCACCCACTCACTCATCAAAGTGGGAGCCTGTTCACTGTAAACCACTCATTCATCAAAGTGGGAACTTGTTCATTGTCAGCCACTTATTCACCACAGTGGGAACCTGTTCACTCTCAACCACTCATTCACCATAGTGAGAACCTGTTCACTGTCAGCCTCTCACTCATCACAGTGGGAACCTCTTCACTGTCACCCACTAATTCATCACAGTGGGAACCTCTTCACTGTCACACACTCACGAATCGCAGTGGAAACCTGTTCACTGTTACCCGCTCACCCATCACAGTGGGAACTTGTTCACTGTCACCCATTCCCTTATCAAAATGGGAACCAATTTACTGTCACCCACTCAGTCAACACAGTGGGAACCTGTTCACTGTTACCCACTCCCTCATCACAGTCAGAACCTGTTGACTGTCACCCACACTTCCATTACATTGGGAACATGTTCATGGTCAACATGCACTCATCACGGTGGGAAACTGTTCACTTTCACCCACTCATTCATTACAAGGGGAACCTGATTATTGTCACCCACTTTTTCATCACAGTGGGAACCCGTTCCCTTTCACCCACTCATTCATTACAGGAGGAACCTGTTTACTGTCACACACTCATTCATCAAAATGGGAACCTGTTCACTTTCAACCACTCACTCATTATAGGCAGAACCTGTTTACTGTCACCCACTCGTTCATTGCAGTGTGAACCTGTTCACTGTCAGCAACTCATTCATTACAGTGGGAACCTGTTTACTGTCACCCACTCATTCACCACTATGAGAACCTGTTCACTGTAACCCACTCATTTACCGAAGTAAAAACCTGTTCACTTTCACCCACACATTCATCACTGTGAGAACCTGTTCACTGTCAACCACATATGAACCACAGTGAGAACCTGTTCACTGCCACCCGCTCCATCACCACAATGAGAACTTTTTTTACCGTCATTCACTCACTAATCAGAGTGGCAGCCTGTTAATTGTCACCCACTTTTTCATCACAGTGGGAACCTGTTCACTGTCACCCATTCATTCATCACAGTGGAAATCTCTTCCCTGTCACCCATTCATTCATCACAGTGGGAACCTGTTCACTGTTACCCATTCATTCTCAACAATGGGAACTAGTTCACTGTCACCCACTCATTCATCACAGTGGGAACGTGTTCACTGTCAGCCACTCATTCATCACAGTGGGAACTTTTCACTCTCACCCATTCATTCATCACAGTGGGAACCTGTTCACTGTCACCCACTCATTCATTACAGGACTAACATTTTCAGTGTCGCTGACTCATTCATCACAGTGGGAACCTCTTCACTGTCAGCCACTTATTTACCACAGTGGGATGCTCTTCACTTTCACCCACTCATTCACCATACTAGAAACCAGTTCACAGTCACCTACTAACAGTGGAATTCTGTTTACTGTCAGTTACTCATTTATCACAGTGGGTACTTATTCACTGTCCCCAACTCATTCATTACAGGAGGAACCTGATCACTGTCACCCACTCATTCACCACAGTAGATTCCTGTTCACTGTCACCCACTTATTCATCACAGTGGGAACCTTTCCCTGTCAGCCACTCGTTCAACACCGAGGGAAATATTTCATTGTCTCTGACTCATTCACCACAGTAGAAACCTGTTCAGTCAGCCACTCTGTTACCACATAGGAACCTATTTACTGTCAGCCACTCACTCATCACAGTGGGAACCTGTTCACTGTCACCCATCCATTCATCACAGTGGGAACCTGTTCATTGCCTCCCACTCATTGATCACAGGAGGAACCTGTTCACTGTCACCCACTCATTCATCACAGTGGGAAACTGTTGACTGTCTCCCACTCATTCACCAAGGTGGGAATCTGTTCACTGTCAGACACTCATTCATTGCACTGGAAACCTGTTCACTGTCAGCCACTCACTCACCAAAGTGGAACCTATTCACTGTCACCCACTTATTTATCACAGTGGGAAAGTGATCACTGTCAGCCACATTCACCACAGTGGGATATTGTTGACTGTCAGCCCCTCACTCACCACAGTAGGAAACTTTTCACTTTCCCCCATTCACTCACCACAGTGGGAACCTGTTCACTGTCACCCACTCACTCATCACAGTGGGAACCTGTTCACTGTAACCTACTCATTCATCACAGTGGAACCCTGTTCACTGTCACCCACTCATTCATCACAGGAGAAACCTGTTCACTGTCACCCTCTCATTCATCACAGTGGGAAGTTGTTCCTCTCAGCCACTCATTCACCACAGTGGGAACCAATTCACTGTCACCCACTTGTTCACTGCAGCATAAAATTGCTCACTGTCAGCCACTCAGTCACCAGAATGGGAACCTGTTAACTGTCACTCACTCATTCATCACACTGGAAACCTATTCACTGTCACCCACTCAGTCATCACAGTGGGAACCTCTTCACTGTCACCCACTCATTCAACACAGTGGCAACCTTTTCACCGTCAGCCCCTCATTCATCACATTGGTAACCTGTTCACTGTCAGCCACTCATTAATCACAGTGGTAACTTGTTCACTGTCACCCACTCATTCATCACAGTGTGAAACTGTTCACTGTCTCCCACTCTTTCATCACAGTGGGAACCTGTTCACTGTCACCCACTCACTCACCACAGTGGGAACTTGTTCACTGTCACCCACTCCCTCATCGCAGTGGGAACCTGTTCACTGTCATCCTCTCATTTATCTCAGTGAGAAACTGATCACAGTCAGCCACTCATTCACCACAGTGGGAACCTGTTGACTGTCAACCTCTTACTCTCCACAATGGGAACCTGTTCACTGTCTCCCACTCATTTATCACAGTGGGAACCTGTTCACTCTCAGCCACTTATACACCACTTTGGAAACCTGTTCACTGTCGCCCACTCATTTACCACAGCGGGAACCTGTTCACTGTCACCCACTCACTCATCACGGTGCTAAACTGTTGACTCTCACCCGCTCATTTACCCAGTGGGAACCTGTTCACTGTCACCCCCTCATTCATCACAGTGGGACTCTGTTCACTGTCACCCACTCATTAATCATAGTGGGAACCTGTTTACTCTCAGCCACTCATTCACCACAGTAAGAACGTGTTCATTGTCCCCCACTCGTTCACCACAGTAGAAACCTTTTCCCTTTCACCCAATCACTAATCACAGTGGCAACCTCTTCACTGTCACCTACTCATCCATTACCAGAGGAATATGATCACTGTCACCCCCTCGTTCAAAACAGTAGAATCTTGTTGACAGTCACACACTCATTCACCACAGTAGGAACGTGTTCACTGTCAGCACTCATTCATCACAATGGAAACCTTTTCCCTGTCAGCCACTCATTCACCACAGTGGGAACCAGTTCACTGTCACCCACTCAATCACTGCAGTAGAAACCTGTGCACTGTCAGTCACTCAGTCACCAGAGTGGGAATTTTTTCACTGTCGCTTACCCTTTCACCACAGTGGGAACCTGTTCTCTGTCAGCCACTAATTTATCACAGTGGGAACCTGTTCACTGTCACCAACACATTCATCACTGTGAGAACGTGTTCACTGTCACCCACTTATTCATTACAGTAGAACCCTGTTCAGTCTCACCCACTCACTCATCACAGTGCAAACCTGTTTACTGTCAGCCACTCATTCATTACAGGAGAAACCTGATGACTGTCATCCACAGGTTCACCATCTTAGAATTTTTTTCACTGTCACCCACTCATTCACCACAGTGGGAACTTTTTCACTTTGGCCGCTCATGCATCACAGTGGGAACCAGTTCACTGTCACCCACTCGTTCACCGCTATAGAAACCTGTTCACTGTCAGCCACCCTGTCACCACAGTGGGAACCTGTTTACTGTCAGCCCCTCACTCATCACAGTGGGAAACTGTTCATTTTCACCCACTCATACACCACAGTCAGAACCTGTTCACTCGCACCCACTCACTCATCACAGAGGGAACCTTTTCACAATCAGCCACTCATTCATCACAGTGGGAACCTATTCACTGTCAGGCATTCATTCACCACAGTAGGAACCTGTTCAATTTTAGCCACTCATTCACCACAGTGGGAACCTGTTCACTGTCACCCACACAATCATCATATTGGGAACCTGTTCATTGCCTCCCACTCATTTATTACAGGATTAACCTGTTCACTGTCACACACTCATTCATCACAGTGGAATCTGTTCACTGTCTCCCACTCATTAATCACAGGGGGAACATGTTCACTGTCTGACACCCCTTCACCACAGTGGGAACCTGTTCACTGTCAGCCACTCACTCACCTCAGTGGAACCTGTTCACTCTCACCCACTCATTCACCACAGTGGGAACCTGTTCATTCTCACCCACTCATTCACCACAGTGGGAACCTGTTCACTGTCAGTCACTCACTCATCACAGTGGGAACCTGTTCACTCTCACCCACTCACTCAACACAGTGGGAACCTGTTCACTCTCACCCACTCATTCACCACAGTGGGAACCTGTTCACTGTCACTCACACAGACATCACAGTGGGAACCTGTTCACTGTCACCCACTCATTCATTACAGAAGGAACCTATTCACTGTAACCCACTCCTTCATCACAGTGTGAACCTGTTCAGCCATTGCTCCTGGCCAGAAAAGCTTTTAATCATCTACTGACTGGGAACAGGAAAACCTTTTATAATCTAGAACAAAGAGAATGAGTCTGCTTGCCACTTACACTGCATCAAGATTTTGGGATCTTAAACCTTGGGTTCATAATCTTTAAACTCACAAAGGGCCCTCTAAACTCTTGCAATCATACTGGAGATCTTAATTGGAGACTTTTAGGTAAATCTAAGCAGAGAAGCTTCTCCTCAAAAGCAGATGGCAACCTTGACATTGATAGCTTTCTCCAGAAGATCAAAAACAAAGACATCTCTTCTATCATGACACTCCTAGTTCACTTTTTTAATGGCTCTACAAACAACAGAAATAAAAAAGGGATCTCTTGTGTGCACTTTTGGGGTATACTTATATATGTAAATAATTTCACAACTAACCTTATATATCAACAAACTTATGTCTGGATAGGTAAAAGATGAAGGGCCACTATAGGTGAGAAATAAGAAATGTCTCGCATTCTTGCTAAATGTGACATGGGAAATTTGTTGTCTCATAATATAAGAAACAGAATATTTATCCACTGCTCTTGGAGCAATATTGACTTAAAGAGAAACTTATGCAGAATAAGTTAGAGCACATTGCCAGGAGGCCATTACTCTTCTGAGTGGTCATTATTCGTTAGGTCTTTCTTTCAAAGGCTTAGAGTAAATGAGGCTATGGTTGGAAATTTATCTTCCATAATAGGCTCAATAGCAGATTCTACTGTAAAGGCTATGGTTACCCAATAGACTTTAAAATTTTTTACTAAAGTTGTGCTAAATAAAAGAATTTATCTAGTTTACTTACTGGATAAACAGAGAAGTATCTGTGCAGTTGCTAGTATTTGTAGTTGCACATGGAGAAATACATCGAGTATTACAGAGATTCAGTTGTAGGGGATTAATGAACACACTGCTTGGTTGAAATGAGGAGACCACTTATCTAGCTAATCATTTGATCTATTTAATCATAGTTGGTTGGTTCAATGGGGACCTCGGTTAAAAAGCATACTTCAGGCTGAGCATGGTGGCTCATGCCTGTAATCCTAGCACTTTGGGAGGCCAAGGCAGGTGGATCACTTGAGGTCAGGAGTTTGAAACCAATCTGGCCAACATGTTGAAACCCCGTCTCTACTAAAAATACAAAAATTAGCCAGCTGTGGTGACACAAGTCTATAATCCCAGCTACTTGGGAGGCTGAGGCAGGAGAATCCCTTGAATCCCAGAGGCAGAGGTTGCAGTGAGCCAAGATCACATCATTGCACTCCAGCCTGGGTGACAAGAGCAAGACTTCGTCTCAAAATAAATAAATAAATAAATAAATAAATAAATAAATAAATAAATAAATAAATCCATACTTCAAACTCTTGATATTATTTTCCTGATAGTCAAAATAATAGTCACCCTACTGCACTCTATTCTCTCAAAAATTATAAATCTTTGCATGCAGTCATCTCTAGAATGCCAAGTGATCTCTCTTTAACTGGAATGATGAAAACTTGAAGATGTATTTGACCATGAGAACACCATAACCTATGAATGATCTGATAAGAACGGAAACCTAAAATAATGAAAACTGAGAGTGACATTAAAACTCTGAGGTTTGGTTACACTCCGATCTATGTGAAAACTTAATCAAAAGGGGGGAATCTTTTTAAACAAAATTATTGGAGGCCATCATCCTGGACTGAGCTTGTTCACTGGGCCCAAACAGACCAAAATGAACCAATTAGTCATTCATGCTAAATGTGACATAGTTAAACTGAAAATTTAAAGAAATAGGTAGATTCTAAAACTGACCAGGTCTTGTTTTTCTTTTGCAAACAGCAGATATCAATACAAGGAGGTCCCATCCACTGTAATCCTTTTAAACAATAATAACCTGAAGTCCCTTTTTTCACTTTACAAAACCCACAGTTCTACTATTTTACAGTGGAAATTGAGACTAAATACATCTTTTTTCTTTTCTTTTCTTTCCTTTTTTTGAGACGGAGTCTCACTCTGTCACCCAGGCTGGAGTGCAGTGGCATGATCTCGGCTCACTGCAACCTCTGCCTCTCAGGTTCAAGCAATTCTCCTGCCTCAGCCTCCCGAGTAGCTGGGACTATGGGTGCCCGCCACCACGATGGGCTAATTTTCATATTTTTAGTAGAGATGGGGTTTCACCATATTGGCCAGGCTGGTCTTGAACTCCTGACATTGTGATCCGCCTGCCTTGGACTCCCAAAGTGCTGGGGTTACAGGCATGAGCCACCATGCCCGTCCATAAGTAAATTTTTGATGGTGACAAAGTAATATCGATGTCTAAAGTTTGGGGTTATTTCTCAAAATTGAGAAGCTAACCAAATGAGAAATATTGTTAAATTAATTATAGCCTAAAGTTAACCCCTTTTATGTTTAATTTCGGTCAATAGGTTTTTCTGTACATAGTTAACTAAAACCTAACTGGATATCTAAATAGATTGTTACCTATTCATGTACCAACCACTATGTTTGTGCCAATAAAAGAACATCAACTGTTCAAGCCATATTCAAATAAGGCAAATCCCAAACTGTAATTAATCTGGTTATTTCTGTACCACTTCTATTTTCTGTATGTCACTTTGCTTTTCCTGTGCATAAATCTTTTTTACCATGTGGCTGTGCTGGATTCTCTCTGAGGCTACTCAGGTCCCACAGACTACTTAATTTGCAAATTATTATTTGCTTAATTAAACTATGTTAAATTTAATTTCTCTGAAGTTATTTTTCTTTTAAAAGTTTTCAAATGTTTTCTTTCATATATATATACAAGTATATATACATGTATATATATGTGTATATATATATATTTTTTTGTGTGTGTGTGTGTGTGACAGTGTCTCACTCTGTTGCCCAGGCTGGAGTGCAGTGGCGCGATCTCGGCTCACTGCAATGTCCGCCTCCCGAGTTCAAGTGATTCTCATGCCTCAGCCTCCTGAGTAGCTGGGATTACAGGAGCGAGCCACCATGCTTGGCTAATTTTGTATTTTCAGTAGAGACGGGGTTTTACCATGTTGGTCAGGCTGGTCTCGAACTCCCAACATCACGTGATCTGCCCGCCTCAGCCTCCCAAAGTGCTGGAATTACAGGTGTGAGCCACCACGCCCGGCCTCAAATTTGTTCTATGATAAAAAATAAGTGATGTGTTGTAGGGCTTTGATTATCTAAAATAAGTTATGTTTTCCAAATTACTCTATATCAGCTATGTCAGCTATTTTTTCCAAATTATTCTATGTTCTTTCAAAATGCTTTTGCAATTTCTTTTTTGTTTTTTCATTTTGTTTGAAATAGAGTCTCACTCTATCAACCAGGCTGGAGTGTAGTCGTGTAATCAATCATGGCTTAATCCAGCTTCCACCTTCCGGTCTTAAACAATCCTCCTGCCCTAGACACCTGAGTATCATCATGCCTGGTTAATTTTTTAAATTTCTTTTATTGAGCCAGGATCTTATTATGTTGCCCAGGCTGCACTTGAACTCCTGAGCTTAAATGATTCTCCCATCTCAGCCTCCCAAGCCTCCCAAAGTATTGGAATTAAGGATTTAAGGCCACCATGTGCTTCAGTAATTTCTCGAGATTATTTCCAATAATAAATAGTACTTTATGGGCACAAATCTACAAGCAATCTGGTTTTTATTTTAGAAGTGTCACTCTCCAGGGTTTTAAGAGTCTAGGGCAGCTACTTGAGTAGTGTGATCCATGGAGGTACATAGGCTTTGAAGTCAGACAGAGTTGATCCTGAGTCCCGGCCCAGCCACTTAGAAGCTGTGAGTGTTTGGACAATTTCTTGATGTGGAAGAGTTCTACAGACTACATATGCAGAAAAAGCAGAATGGACTGGGCATGGTGGCTCACGCCTGTAACCCCAGCACTTTGGGAAGCTGAATTGGGTGAATCACGACGTCAGGAGATCAAGACCATCCCGGCCAACATGGAGAAACCCCATCTCTACTAAAAATACAAAAATTAGCTGGGTGTGTTGGTGTGGGCCTGTAATACCAGCTACATGGGAGGCTGAGGCACAAGAATCACTTGAACACAGGAGGCAGAGGTTGCAGTGAGCCAATATCACACCACTGCACTCCAGCCTGGTGACAGAATGAGACTCCATCTCAAAAAAAAAAAAAAAAAAAAAAAAGCAGAAGGATACTGATTGCAAATATGGTAGCAATTTTTCATCCCTCCTGTATCCATGTACATTGACAGGTGCTTTTACAGCCATTCCCATGAAGAGTCAGAATCTATTTTCCAAACGCTTGATCTGGCTGGCCTTATTTGCTCATGGCAGTAGAAACCTGAGAACATGACAATGTGTTGGTTTGGAGCCTAGGCTCAAACAGTTTTGACTGCTTCTGCTTTTCTTTTCTTTCCTTTTCTTTTCTCTGTTTTTTTCTTTTTTTGAGAAGGAGTCTTTCTCTGTCATCCAGGCTGGAGTGCAGTGGCATGATCTTGGCTCACTGCAACCTCCACCTCCCAGATTCAGGCAATTCTCCTGACTCAGCCTTCTGAGTAGCTAGGACTACAGGTATATGCTACCACACCCAGCTAATTTTTGTATTTTTAGTAGAGGTGAGGTCTCGCCATGTTGGCCAGACTCGTTTCAAACTTCTGACCTAATGTGATCCACCTGTCTTGGCCTACTAAAGTTCTGGAATTACAGGCATGAGCCAGCATGTCCGGCCTGCTTCTGTTTTTCTTTCAGAATGCTGCCATATTCATGAAAAAAAGCCCATATTAGGCCAGGCACGGTGGCTGGTGCCTGTAATCGCAGCACTTTGGGAGGCCAAGATGGACAGATCAAGAGGTCAGGAGATCGAGAACATCCTGGCTAACACAGTGAAACCCCGTCTCTACTCAAAATACAAAAAAATTAACCGGGTGTGGTGGTGGGCACCTGTAGTCCCAGCTACTCAGGGGGCTGAGGCATGAGAATCACTTGAACCTAGGAGGTGGAGCTTGCAGTGAGCAGAGATCGCACCACTGCACTCCAGCCTGGGCGACAGAACGAGACTCCGTCTCAAAAAAAGAAAAGAAAAAAGCCCATATTAGCCAACTGGAGTATAAGATACTATGAAGAGGAGAAGTAAGGTATCCCTGTTGACAGTCCCAGAAGCAGAAGCTCACCTCTACAAGCACAGCTGCTGCTTTCCTAGTCAATGAGCAGCTCATGATACATGTCTGAAGGAGCTCAGCTGAGAACAGAAGAATGGCCCCACTGAGCCCAGCCTAAATGGCTGAGCATTTCAATTATGAGCAAATCAGTTTTGGATGGTTCATTATGCTGCCATAGTTAACTAATATGTGCACCCAGTGCAGATAGAATGCCAAGATTTAATAACAGGTTGATTACTAGTTACCTTCTAACATTGGGCACCATAAAAGTACTGATATTTTTCCCGATTTAAAGTTAGATGTCTTGTAAGATAATGTTGAGAAATGCAGAAATATGGCCAGGGGTGGTGGCTTATGCCTATAATCCCAGCACTTTAGGAGGCCAAGGCGGTTGGATCACCTAAGGTCAGGAGTTCAAGACCAGCCTGACCAACATGGAGAAATCCCGTCTCTACTAAAAGTACAAAAAATTAGCCGGGCGTGGTAGTGCATGCCTGTAATCCCAGCTACTCGGGAGGCTGAGGTAGGAGAATTGCTTGAACCCAGGAGGCAGAGGTTGCAGTGAGCCAAGACCACACCATTGCGCTTTAGCCTGGGCAACAAGAGTGAAACTCCATCTCAAAAAAAAGAAATGCCGAAATACATGTGGACATGTATGCATGTGATTGTGCTTATATTCACTCAGTTTCCCACACCACAGAAGAAAACAGGTAACCACAGCCTGAACATTAGAGTCGAGGTCAAATAGCAAAATAAGTTTGCCTTTAATCTATTTTCTTCCTATGTAAACATTAAAGGTCAAGACTGTGAACAGATCTGAAGACATAGTTTTTTTTCTCCTGTGGCCCATCATCCTTTGCTCACTGTCTGATCTCTGAAAGAAAGATGGGCAACAGGTGGTAAGCAGTGGTTTACCTGTGATTTATTCCTGCTGCCATCAGCTTTTTCTATAGCCACTATTTGTTTCACCCTCGGAACTGAAAAGAGACGTTGATAAATAGAGGCTGTCCCCTCACCTGTGGCAGAAAAGGGGTGTTCAGGCCCTCCACCCCCACTGACATCACAGCTGTACTTCAATGTGGCAGCTATTGGCCATGTGTGGCTCCTGGGTGCCTGGAATGTGGCTGGTCTGAACTGCGATGTGCTAGAAAGGTAAAATACAGAATTAGTTTCAAAGATTTTGTTTCAAATGTATTTATATTTCATTAATAATTACATATTGCTCACATATTAAAATGAAAATATTTTGAATATATTGGGTTAAATAAATTGCTACAATCAATTCCACTTGTTTCTTCTTTCTTTTTAAAGTTTGGCTACTAGAAAATTTAAAATTCACCTGTGACTCACATTTTATTTCAGAGGATTGCCTGTTCAAAGGACCAGAATACAGGAAGGTCATAAAATCTAAAATTTTAGAACAATTGTTGTTATACTTTGTTCATTTGTGAATAGCCATATAATATATTATTTTTGAATGCATATAAATTGATACACAAGGTAAGGGCAAATACTCTCTGGTGTGAGCCTGGCTCAGCTCAGGAAGGAAGCCCTGTCTGAAAAGGCTGCAGCCTAGGCTGTCACTCGCTCTTCTTTCAGCCCAGCATCTGATCACATCTTCTGTCACTCAGGGCCTGAAAAGAAGGTGCCTTAAATATCATCCAATCAGAGACGCTGGGCTGGGAACCGTCCAATCAGGAACGCAGCTGGTGCGGATAGGGCGGCTTCCGGGATGTGGCGGGGCCTTTGTCTCTCGCTGCAGCCTGAGCTCTAGGTCTTGTTTTCCCTGCTTTGTGTTTTCTGCTCGTGGACGCCCAGCCTCTGTGGCCCTGTGGCCTGCAGGTATTGGGAGATCCACAGCTAAGACGCCGGGACCCCCTGGAAGCCTAGAAATGGTGAGAGTGCCAGGTCCGCCATCCCGAGGGGGAAAGGGGTTGGTTGAAACCGGTGGGAAGCGGCTGTGGCGGGACTCAGGCCTCCCTGTAGTCAGCTCCACAATCTGCGCTCCAGTTCTTTTTGCCCAGCTCGGCCCCAGTTCCTCCAGCCATAAGATGGCGGCTGCGCTGACAGCCGGCCCGGGCGTCCTGTCTCTTCCCTGCGCAGTGACTGTGCCCTGGACTGGAGCCCTCTCTGGGCAGCTCTGCATTCGCAGCACCGCGTCTCTCCCAGATTGAGCAGGGACCACGGGAGGGTTGTCAGGGGAGAATCCTGACTCGGGGTGCGGGTTCATGAAAGAGCTTTGGGCTGTGGGGTTCCCAGTTCCTCTTTTTTTCTGTTAAAAATGTATGGGGGGACGGGCGTGGTGGCTCACGCCTGTAATTTCAGCACTTTGGGAAGCCGAGGCGGGCGGATCATCTGAGGTCAGGAGTTCAAGACCATCCTGGCCAACATGGTGAAACCCCGTCTCAATTTTTAAAAATACAAAAATTAGCCGGGCGTCGTGGCGCGCGCCTGCAATCCCAGCTACTCAGGAGTTTGAGGCAGGAGAATCGCTTGAACCCGGGAGGCGGAGGTTGCAGTGAGCCTACATCGCGCCACTGCACTCCAGCCTGGGCAATAAGAGTGAAACTCCGTCTCAAAAAAAAAAAAAAAAGATGTATAGGAGTCACCGCAAAAATATTAAAGAACTTAAAAAGTGGTTCAAGTATTGTAGAGCACTCAGCTATGGTTTGTAGTTTGTGGTCCATGGGAGGAGCTTGAATAAAAGACTTTTATAAGGTGCATGATAAAAAAATCAAATTAGTAATTGGTTAGGTACAGTTATATAGTCTCTTAATTTGTACGATCGTGTTGGCAATTTTCTGGTTATGTGATCAGAATTTAATTGGCAGTTTATAGTTGGTTAAGCCTGAATTTTGTTTTCCCCGATGTGGTAATTTACTAAAAAATGAAATTTTAGTTAGATTTTTTTAAAAAGGAGGACCCCAGGGACTAGAGCCACCTCAGTCTAATTGCCTGCCACTGAATCATTTTCACAGTCCACAGGGGACTTCTTTTCCCCTGCATTTTTCACATATGTCTCAAGCAGGGTCTCAAGTCTACTTCTTACTCCCTGTTCTTCCAGATTAACTCTGATTTACAGTAAAATACTAAATTTCCAGTGTCATTGACATTCCCAAATGCCACCTTCCCCTCTCTGATACACATTATCAATTATTTGTCCTTTATTGTACATTTTATATTTCAATTAATAATTCTTCCACAAAACATTGGATGGCACTATTTAAAAAATTGTCTTCTGTTTGTAAATATTTCCCATGAGAAGAAAGTGAATAATAATCCCTGACACCATATTGTAAAAAAATCTCTGTGTCTCTTTTCCTTTTATCTTCCCTAGGCACAGAGTTCTTATCAGAATATTGGTGGGTCAAGGTTTCCGTTTGGAGACTTTATGGTGTGATGGGTCATCAGCCACTCTTCAGTTTTTTCCTGGTCCTGGGTTTTCAGTACTGTATGGGGATAAACCAGGATGCCCACCATTGTGGCTATGTTGGCTAGAGTGTCTAGTGAATATCAGCTCCTGGGTCATTTTCTCTCATAGGACAACCTGAGGTATGAAGTGTATCCTATCAAGGGAGCAGGTAGATACCCAGGGTCTGAGTGCAGTCTCCTGGTGTACTCTTCCTTTGAAAAGCTAACTCCTTGAGACATTAAAATTGACTTCACCCAGCTGGGCGCGGTGGCTCACACCTGTAATCCCAGCACTTTGTGAGGCCGAGGCGGGCGGATCGCGAGGTCAGGAATTTGAGACCAGCATGGCCAATATGGTGAAACCCCATCTCTACTAAAAATACAAAAATTAGCCAGGCCTGGTGGCACACACCTGTAATCCCAGCTACTAGGGAGGCTGAGGCAGAAGAATTACTTGAACCCGGGAGGTGGAGGTTGCAGTGAGCCAAGGTCATGCCACTGCACTCTAGCCTGGGTGAAAGAGCGAGACTGTATACAAAAAAAAAAAAAAAAGATTGACTTCACCCAACCCAGCTTCTATTTCTTGGAGACACATTGAGAGAAAAATGCAGAAATAATTTTTACCCCCTGGATTCTCTAAGATTTGTGAAAGAAAAAATAGTATCCCAAAAGACAAAAAAAAGGTCACCCCAGTGAGATGGTGCAAGAACTTGCAAAGTAAAATGCACTTGGGGCAGTCACTGGGGCATAGTGTAGTGTCTCTTGAGAGGTTGGTCATTGAGAACTTTAGTGAGCAGGAGCGGGTGGGAGAATCTTTCAAGTGATTGAACGGCCTGACTTGACACATAGGTCAGACACATCTCTTTTCTAATCAGCACTGTCCCTCTGTGGGTTTGTCACCTTGAAAAGATTTGTTCACTTATTTTGACTTCAGCTTCTTTTAATTGTAAATTGCATTTGATTAGTAAAGTTTAAAAGGCACAAAAATATTTGCACAGGGTGTAAAAGAAGTGGGTTTTAGAAAAAAATTAAAATCTAATCATATATTCCATTTGTTAAGAATTCTCATTTACTTGTTCCTTTGTCAGAGTGAGTTTAAAAATTTTCTCAGGTGTGCTTATGGCTGGGTGATTTTAAACAGAATTCCAAGGCTTAGCTTTTAGAATGTTATCAGGGAAAAAATTAGGAAAAATCTCTCTTCCATTTTGGCTGTAGAAAATAAATAGATTTCCACAAGAAAATGTGGTATATAATTGGTGAGTTACATAGATTCATGAAAACACAAATTTCTCTTTTTGCAGGGTAAAGTTGTGACAGTGAATATTTCTGTCCCATATCCTGTTATCTTGATTTTTAAGTTTCATGATAAATTTTATGAGATGAAACTTGGTACCTCCTAGAAGTGTTCCCATGACTAATTGTTTACTACATGATTTTTTATAGAAATAATAAAATAATACATTTATTGTCTGAAAGGAATAAATGCTTTTGCTTTTCTAATTGAGGTATAAAATGTAAGCACCAAAAATTTTCTTTTTTTATATGAACACTGTGTTTGAGTGATTTCATTGGAGTTTTCAGTTTCAAAAACCAAGGGAATAAATCTGACATGGAAATTAAAGCTTGAACCCAGTGACTCCAACCTAAGGCTAATATTGAGCCTACAAAAAAAAAAGATTATTAAAGGCCCAGTTAGTTCTTTCTGGGGAGCCTCCCCTGCAGATGTCCCAGCCTGCTCACCCCAGCCATGGAAGAAGTCTTTCCATCCTGAGAGAAGCTCCAAAGCCTTGGAAAGCTGGGGCCCCACAGGCAGATGCAGTTAAGGTTAAGATGAAAGGAAACTGGGAGGGTCTCACTGATGATAAAGTTTTTTATTGTTTTGAGGCACTGTCTAGACTTTGTAAAATAAAACAAAGTTAGATTTGTGTAAAAAAAAAAATTGAATTCCAAAGGAATATTGCAACAGGAGGAAGTACCAACTATATCATCTTTATGGCTTGCAAAGTTTAGGCAGACAAAGGCTTTGTTTCCTAGGGAGGAGCATAAAAGATTAGAAAAAAGGTGGGAGGGGAGTGGCAAATGGAGTGTGAAAAAAATCAGATTTTAGATCAGATAATGTTTTACCCTGAAGTCAGCATGTTCATAGGAGGGACATAAAATGGGGTTGTATGTTGACTCACACTCAGGGTAGCTCAAAGTTCAGGAGCCTGTGGGAAAAAAATAAACTTAAGTTTGATTAAGAAGTATTTTATTTCTGTGCGTGGTGGCTCACACCTGTAATCCCAGCACTTTGGGAGGCTGAGATGGGCATTTCACCTGAGGTCAGGAGTTTGAGACCAGCCTGACCAACACAGAGAAACCCCATCTCTACTAAAAATACAAAATTAGCCAGGCGTGGTGGTGCATGCCTGTAATCCCAGCTACTCAGGAGGCGGAGGCAGGAGAATCCCTTGAATCCAGGAGGTGGAGGTTGTTGTGAGCTGTTATCACGCCATTGCACTCTAGCCTGGGCAACAAGATCAAAAGTGTCTCAAAAAAAAAAAAGTATTTTATTTAGACCAGTGAAGACAAATTCAGCTCATTTTTTTAATGAGAAAAGGAAGAAAATGTGTACAGTATGTATCTGGCTATGTGATAGGTAAGAAAAGGGAGTGTCTTCTAAGTCATAATAAGAAGGGTGTTTTTGGCTGGGCATGGTGGCTCACACCTGTAATCCCAACACTGGGAGGCTGAGGCGTGAGGATCACGAGGTCAGGAGTTCAAGACCAGCCTGGCCAAGATGGTGAAACCCTGTCTCTACTAAAAATACAAAAATTAGCTGGGCGTGGTGGTGTGTGCCTGTAGTCCCAGCTACTTGGGAGGCTGAGGCAGAAGAATCGCTTGAACCGGCAGGCGGAGGTTGCAGTGAGCCGAGATCATGCCACTACACTCCACCCTGGCGACAGAGCAAGACTCCATCTGAGGGGGAAAAAAAGTGTTTCTTTTCATAAACTGTTGCTGGAGCACACAAAGGATGACTTTTATTAATCACAGCTATTTTCCAGGATTATGTATGTGTTTCATTTTTCCCCACCTCTTTTTTTGTCCTATACATTTCTTTCATTTGACTTCTTCTGGGTTGTATCTTTTATAATAAACTACAGAGTTTGCTGGGTTCTGTGAGTAGCTCTATCAAATTATTGAACTAGAGGGAGGTTATGGGAATCCCCAAATTTTAAACAGTAGCTCAGAAGCATAGGTGGGCCTATGGGGTTTGTGACTGGCATCTGTAATGAGGGCAGTGTTGTGGGACTGAACCCTGAATCGGGGTCTGTGCTGACTCTGGGTGGTGTCAGAATTCAAATTTCAGATAATGAGTAGGTGCTGGAGAATTGCTTTGTGTTCAGCAAACTCTATAGATTTGATACCAGAAAAAAGATATCACAGAGGCCTGGCCTCGAATGGAACTCTGGGTGTCTGGGAAGGGGAGGCTCTGCTCTCCTGTACACAGGCTGTCACACTGCCCATTGTCTTGTGATTCCAGGTCTCCTCCCAGGGTGACTGTGGACTGAAAACTTAGAGGAAAGGACCTCTGATGACAGACCCCCTTTTCTTGCAGCTGCCACCACAGGAGTCCCACCCACTCACACACACTAGACATTGACGTGTCCACATCCCTCTCAAGACTAGTCATCATCCTCAGGAATTTCACCACAGCATTGTGGATCCTAGTATTTCTTGCCAAAATCCCACAAGAGTGTCTACAAGTCTCCTGGCATATCCCAACCCCCAGACACTGAATCTGCAGCAGCAAACTGTTTTCTCCACCAACCTAGGGTTCTGGACCACCTGTTCATAATCTCATCTGCCTGCACAGGCACAAATAAATCAGAGTACAGCCCCACCGGGACCGCTGTCTGTAGCAAAAACCTACAGTCCTTCCACCTACATTGCACTTTACCCCACCCATGAAGTTTTTTTCTTTTAACTTTTGATTTTGGTTCAGGGGTACACGTGCAGGTTTCTTATATAGGTAAAATTGTGTCACGGGGGTTTGGTGTAGATTATTTTCTCACAGAGGTACTAAGCATAGCACCAAACCAATATTTATTCAAATTCTCCTTGTCATCTCACCCTCCACCCTTACTAGGCCTCAGTGTCTGTTGTTTCTTTCTTTGTGTACGTGTTCTTATTTAGCTCTTACTTTTTTTTTTTTTGAGATAGAGTCTTGCTCTGTCACCCAGGCTGGAGTACAGTGACAGGATTCACTAGACAAAAACTGATCTCTTCTTTTTTTTTTTTTTGTTTGAGACACCGTCTTGCTCTGTCACCCAGGCTGGAGTGCAATGGCATGATCTCAGCTTACTGCAACCTCCGCCTCCCAGGTTCAAGCAATTCTTCTGCCTCAGCCTCCCAAGTAGCTGAGACTACAGGTGCACACCACCACACCTGGCTAATTTTTGTATTTTTAGTAGAGACAGGGCTTCACCATCTTGGCCAGGTTGGTCTCAAACTCCTGACCTTGTGATCCCACCTCAGCCTCCAAAAGTGCTGGGATTACAGGCATGAGCCACTGCACCCAGCCTATTTCTATTTCTTTAACCTTGCTAAGAATACATATGTATCTTATAATAAAATTACCCTAGAAAACCTTAAAATATTTCTTTAAATTTCTTAGTATATGTTATAAAATTGAGGGGGCAGTGGCTTGGCTTAAAAAGATTAAGATTACACAAACTCTGGGATTTAAGTTTCTCTTAGGTAAGCTTAGGAAAAACAGAACTGGAAATACCCTAGTGGCATAGAGAACAGAGTTCTACATAGGGTCCTCTCCCTGCCCCAGTTCTGTTTAGATTTAACCTATTTGGAGGCCTTATTTAGGTCTGGCCCCACCCTGGAGTCTTGCCTCACACAATTTGTTAGAAGAAATCAAAGTTTTGGGCCAGGCGTGGTGGCTTACGCCTATAATCCCAGCACTTTGGGAGGCCAAAGCAGGCAGATCATAAGGTCAGGAGTTCGAGACCAGCCTGACCAACATGGTGAAACCCCATCCCTACTTAAAAAATACAAAAATTACCCTGGTATGTTGGCATGCACCCGTAATCCCAGTTACTTGGGAGGCTGAGGCAGGAGAATCTCTTGAGCCCAGGAGGCAGAGGTTACAGTGAGCTGAGATCATGCCATTGCACTCCAGCCTGGGTGACAGAGCAAGACTCCGTCCCAAAAAAAAAAAAAAAAAAAAAAGAAATCAGAGTTTTTGTCTGGTGAATCCTTCTGCCTTTCTAGAGTTCATGCTCACAATTTCCTTAAACCCCAAAACAGATAAATGGTAAAAATAAAGTATGTATTTTAGGGTCTTAATTTTTAAATTTTGTATTAAAGTGAGTGCTTGCAGAAACATTCTATTTAACAACTTGTTTTCTATTTTTGCAAATCCAGTAGTTGCTCTGCAAGTCACATAAAATTAAATACAAACACAGTAAAAAACTTCTCTAAAATACATTAAACTTTCCTTTCTGTATTCCTCTCATCTGTCTATATTTAGCTTTTCTTCTATGCAATTAAAAAAAATCAATGACAGAGAAACAAGAAGAAATGGAAAGGCAGGGCTCTTTATTTAAATCCTAAGAATTATTAAACACTTAATAACATCTTTCAGGGTGTTATGATGATGAAATCACGTAATGTGTTATGGCCAACACAGTGCTTTTTAACATCCTTTTGAGTACATAGTTCCTGCTTAATATATCTTGCATTAGTACAGGTGTACATGTTGTTGCCAAATGCAGGCTTATTCAAACATTGCTGCCTTCTGTTTCCTCTGTAAACTTTAATGAGCCAGCAAAGAATATGATACTTAAGGATGGAGATGGATTTTATTTATTTATTTAGAGACAGAGTTTCGCTCTTGCTGCCCAGACTGGAGTGCAATGGCACGATCTTGGCCCACCACAACCTCTGCCTCCCAGGTTCAAATGATTCTCCTGCCTCAGCCTCCCTAGTAGCTGGGATTACAGACATGCACCACCACACCCAGCTAATTTTTTTGTATTTTTAGTAGAGACTGCGTTTCTCCATGTTGGTCAGGCTGGTCTCAAACTCCCGACCTCTGGTGATCCACCTGCCTCGGCCTCCCAAAGTGCTGAAATTACATGCATGAGCCACTGCGCCTGGCAGAGATGGGTTGTCTTTATTTGTACCAGAAGTATTTGGTTGTGACAAGAGTGCTGAGTGTAAGGGAACCTGTGCTGTGCCTGCTTTCTCTAATGCCAATAATGAGCCCAAGGGAAGCAACATCAGCACTGACAGGGTTGTTACCTATTCATGGACTCTTTTCAAACCTGCAGAATCATATTACATAGAATGGAGCCAAAATTACCAAGTGATTTATAAGCTCATTAAAACTTGAGAGGCAATGCTTAGCTAAGTGGTTATCAGCCCAGGCTTCTCATTAGGATTCCATGGCCAATTTGCAGAAATCTCTTTACTTGTGCCCTTTCCACAGATTCTGTTTATTGTTCTAGGGGGAAGCAGTCATGTTGTAGTAATGAAGTGCCTCATGTGACTCTTAAGTTGAGGCCAGAATCAAGTATGAGGTGTTCCAGATACATTCATGAGTTAAGTTCCACCTTTGCACTAAAGGGTGGCCGCAGGACTGTTTCTGTTTGGATTTGGTAGGGACAGAGCAATGTGGCCATATTTTCTTTTTCTTTTTCTTTTTCTTTTTTTTTTTTTTTTTTTGAGGTGCAGTTTCACTGGAGTGCAGTGGTGCAATCTCGGCTTACTGCAACCTCTGCCTGCTGGGTTCAAGCGATTCTCTTGCTTCAGCCTCCCGAGTAGTTGGGACTACAGGCACATGCCACCACGCCTGGCTAATTTTTTCTATTTTTAGTAGAGATGCTGTTTCATCGTGTTAGCCAGGATGGTCTCAATCTTCTGACCTCAGGATCTGCCTGCCTCGGCCTCCCAAAGTACTGGGATTATAGGCGTGAGCCACCAAGCCCGGCCATGGCCCATATTTTCATTATTGTAGCAGAAATTGCTGGTGTCTGTGACAGGGGAGGGCACCTGAGAACAGGAAAAGTGAAACATATTTTGATACCCATGGAGCAGCTCATTGTTCCTGAATCTCTTCCATTATAAAGGACATAAATGAGTGAGCTTTTTCTGCAGGTCTTGATCCTTCTGCCTGTGGGTCTGGTGGTAGCAGATGAGCAGTTGATGTTGACATCTTTAAAGACATATTCTCAACATGCAGCTGTAATTTGTTCAAAGAATCTCATCTGGAAAGGATTCCCAGAAAAGGAGGAAAAAGAGGAAAAAAATGGCTTCTTTTTTTAAAGCAAAACATGTCTCAGATCAAGAGCTGTGTCCACTTTGCCTCCTAGAATGCCATGCAAATCATTACTTCTCTATTGTATTACCCCTCCCTAAAGAGTTTAACTACTTGTAAAAATTCTTATGATAGTCAAGGGTGTCTGAAAAGTATTTTTTTTCTATATACCAGAGCCCTTTCTACATTCTTTACATTGTGGCTTTTTATATGCCATGCAGAATTCCTACCACAAATTTATAATCTGCACTATTAAAAATGTTCCCTTTGTGGCTCTTGAACATGAAAAGGTGTGGATACTCAAGATTTCTATTGGGGGAAAGCTGGAGTCATTTGTAAAGATGGAAAACATGTAATGTTGAGGTTCCATCTGTATTCTCCATTACCTCTGTGCAAAACAGGATCAAGGAAATGCTTAGTTAAACAAGATGACATTTATTACCCAGAAAGTTCTAAAAAAAAAATTATCAGGAGATACCTGCTCTCTAGGGTGCTAAAGAAAGATGATTTAAAATTACTATTACAAATTATAGACAGGGAAGATATCTGTATCCTGAACTTTGCATAAAACTGATTTTTTAATGTTAAAATTCAGACTATAGTTTGGAGGAGCAGTATCACAGCCGTGATGCTGTGTCATTTCATGTGCATCAACACATCATAAAAATATGTCCTAGGATGGGCGCGGTGGCTCAGCCTGTAATCCCAGCACTTTGGGAGGCTAAGGCAGGCAGATCACAAGGTCAGGAGATCTAGACCATCCTGGGAATGGTGAAACCCCGTCTCTACTAAAAATACAAAAAAAAAAAAAATTAGCCGGGCATGGTGGTGGGCACCTGTGGCCCCAGCTACTTGGGAGGCTGAGGCGGGAGAATGCCGTGAACCCAGGAGGCGGAGCTTGCAGTGAGCTGAGATTGCACCACTGCACTCCAGCCTGGGCAGCAGAGCGAGACTCCGTCTCAAAAAAAAAAAAAAAAAAAATTTGTCCTAGTGCAGTTCATGTTAATGATTCACTTGGTTAAAGAGCTCTCTGACAGATTTTGTCACTATAGAGATAATTATTTTTTCTTCATTATTATCTTAATGCAGCTAATGTGCATAAACCATCACAGTTAATCCAGCAGCTGCCCTTTTTTCTTAGTTTTTTTTTTTTGCATACATCTGTCTTTGGAAAGTCAAAGCTCTTATCTTTGTTTACAGGCCAGAAAAATTAGGAAAAACACAGGTTCTTCCCCTTACTGGATGTTTGACAAAATATTCTTCTTGGCCAAAAACATTAACCTTACTGGTGAGCTTGTTAGAAATTCAGACAATCAGACTTTATTCCAGATCATCTGAAAAAATAATCTGCATTAACAAGTTCTCCAGTTTATTGTACACATTAAAATTTAAAAAGTACCTTCTAACTCAACCTGTCTTTTCCATCTGAAAAATATACACAACTCATTCTGTAGAATGTGTATATGGCATCCAAAAATACACATTTTTATGCCCTTAATTTTATACTATATCATCCAGAAAAGTATCATGTATACACTGGTATTGTGGATCTTATGCCACTCTCTTTTCTTAGAGTTAAAAAATATATTAGAGAATATTTCTGTGTTAAAAAAATTATTTTATTTTATAATTTTAGTCACTCCTGTAAGTCAGAAACAGTTACCTGTACTCTCTCATTTCACCTTGAGTAAAATTAAAAATGCTTTTCATAACCAGTTGGTAATTATGTGTGTGTGTGTGTGTGTGTGTGTGTGTGTGTGTGTGTGTATGTGTATGTGTGTGTATCTTTCAGGGACCATTGACATTTAGGGATGTGGCCATAGAATTCTCTCTGAAGGAGTGGCAATGCCTGGACACTGCACAGCGGAATTTATATAGAAATGTGATGTTAGAGAACTACAGAAACCTGGTCTTCCTGGGTGAGGATAACTTCAATACACAATTTCTAATATGCCCTAAAGGTTTTATTTCTTTTATTTGTGGAATGTTTTTCTGGTAAAGTGTGCTTTGCATAAATTAGTTTCAGATCCCTGTTTTCAAGAAAATCTTGGGGATTAATACATGTAGAAAAGAATTTCTGCAAGATGTTTCATTTTGACCTTAACTTTCCAAATTTCTGAGCTGATCTGTATCCTTCACTGTAGATTACTAAATTCCACAAATTTAATGGCATAAAATTTTTGCCCACACCTTAAAATGTAATTGCCAACACCAATTTTTGATTCAATAGTACTGGATAGTAAAATTAAGAAACTGGGCCAGGCTTGGTGGCTCACGCCTGTAATCCCAGCACTTCGGGAGGCTGAGGCGGACGGATCACGAGGTCAGGAGATCGAGACCATCCTGGCTAACACGGTGAAACCCCGTCTCTACTAAAAATACAAAAAATTAGCTGGGTGTGGTGGCAGGCACCTGTAGTCCTGTAGTCCCAGCTACTAAGGAGGCTGAGGTAGGAGAATGGCATGAACTCAGGAGGCGGAGCTTGCAGTGAGCTGAGATCACGCCATTGCACTCCAGCCTGGGTGACAGAATGAGAGTGAGACTCCATCTCAAAAAAAAAAAAAAAAAGAACCTACAAATCAAAAATATTTTTTAAATATTTGAAAATGTCTGTTATAAATTAGTATTTTGGGATTAATTTACTAGCTAAGCACATTACTAGATTGGTCATTAGAGAATATGAGCAAGATTTATATTATTTATTTTTAATAAAACAGGTATTACTGTTTCTAAGCCAGACCTGATCACTTGTCTGGAGCAAGGGAAAGAGGCCTGGAGTATGAAGAGACATGAGATCATGGTGGCCAAACCCACAGGTAGGTGAAAGTGAAAATGAATACAGCAGATGACACATGAGAGGTCCAAAGGCCAAAGAGAAAGCCAGTCCTTAAAATGTGATTTAGGAAGCTGTGTTCCAAAGAAAATAGTTTCTCAGAAGCCTGAGGTTTCTTTCTTTCTTTTTTGCTCTCACATGGGGGCATCTTCTGTCTTATACTTTTAAATTTTCTAAGGATTCTACTTTTCCTTCGGTGATCTTCAAGTTTGCAGTTAGAGCCAAAGTCCTCTTCGTGGCATATAAGAGACTGCGCAGTCTGGCTGCTTTTTCATTGTTTTGGGGGACACACAAATATCTGCATAATTTTGAAAAAGTCTATGTTAAGCAATATTTTTAATTGTATTTTTGCATCATGTTTGAAATATGTGAGTAGTGGTTTCTGTTCCATTGGGGGTTTTTTTGTTTGTTTTTCTGCACATTCCATCCTGTTTGTATTACTACATTCTTGAAATATAGTTTGAAATTATAAAGTATGATGCCCCTATGCTTTGTTCTTTTACCTCAAGATTGCTTTGGCTATTCAAAGTTTATTATAGTTTCATGTATGTTTTAGAATTGTATTTTTCATTACTGTAAAAGATGCCACTAGAATTTTTTTTTTTTTTATTTCGCTCTTGTTACCCAGGCTGGAGTGCAATGGTGTGATCTCGGCTCACCGCAACCTCTGCCTCAGGGTTTCTCAATGTTGGTCAGGCTGTTCTCAAACTCCCAACCTCAGGTGATCCATGTGCCTTGGCCTCCCAAAGTGCTAGGATTACAGGCGTGAGCCACCATGCCTGGCCACCACTAGAATTTTGATAGGGAGTTTGTTGAATCTATAGGTTACTTTGTATAATATGACACTTTAACAATATTTATCCTTTCAATGCATAGACATAAAATATTTTAAAATTTATTTGTGTCTTCTCTAGTTTCTTTCTATGATATCTTATATCTTCCAGTATAAAAATGTTTTACCTCTTTTGTTAAATTTGTTCTCAGAAATTTATTATTTTGATGCTATTATAAATAAGATTGTTTTCTTTATCAGATAGTTTGTTTTATGTATATGGAACCCTAATTTATACTTGTATGTTAATTTTATACTTTGCTAATTTACTGGGTGTATTTATTAGTTTAGACAGGTTTTAATGTACTATTCATGGTTTTCTATATATAAGATTATATGATCTACAACCAGCAACTTTTACTTATTTGTCTTCAATTTCAATGGCTTTAAAACAATTTTTTTACTAATTCTTCTGCCACATACTTCCAGTGCTATATTAAAATAGAAACATTGACAATGGTATTGGGAATGGGTGCTTGGTGTCACAAAAATCCTTTGAGAGACAAAGGATCTCTCAGCAAGGCTAGTTTACTTTCTGCAGAAAGAGTACACTCGCCAGCAGTTTTGCCAAGAGAATACACTAAACAAAGGAGGCAGGGTCATTTATAACCTGATGGGTCCACCCTACTGCTGTGTCCGGTTTCCATTGGCTACAACAGGACCTCACATTCTGTATTTGTCCCAGTTGGCTAGCAACTTAGAACTTTCTAAAAGAGGCAAAGGCAGAGGAGAACAAAGGAAGGAGGGAGCAACTTGTGGATGCTGAGAAAGGTAAAAACACCTCCAGATAAGGAATAGGAACAGGCTATGACCTAATGCTTGCTTGGACCAGTATAAGCATGCCAGGGCAAATATTTAGGCTAAAATGTGGGAGCTAAGAACACAAAGTACATTGATTTCTTTATCACGGCTAGCAGATATCTAAGAATGTCAGCACAGGTGTTTGAATACATTTTGCTTCTAAGAGAAGTTACTATTTATTCCTAATTACACGAGGAGGAAAGTCCCTTTGAAAAGGAACCTCTATTTCACATTTTACGATGAGCACAATATAGTTTTGCATTGGTGTATATGAATTTGAATGAGCAAACAGCTCTTCAAGTTTTTGGGGTTTTTTTGTTTGTTTTGTTTTTTGGGTTTTTGTTTTTTGTTTTTGAGACGGAGTCTCACTCTGTCATCAGGCTGGAGTGCAGTGGCACGATCTCGGCTCACTGCAACCTCCGCCTCCTGCGTTCAAGTATTCCCCTGCCTCAGCCTCCCAAGTAGCTGTGACTAAAGCCGTGCACCACAACGTCTGGCCAATTTTTTGTATTTTAGTAGAGACGAAGTTTCACCATATTGGCCAGGCGAGTCTCAAACTCCTGACCTCGTGATCCACCCACCTCAGCCTCCCAAAGTGCTTGGATTATAGACATGAGCCTCAGCGCCCAGCCCTCTTCAAGTTTTTATAAACCAGTTTCAGAAGGTAAAGATCTTCTGTTGGGCCCCCAGGGTGACGGGATGCCCTCTGAGTTTATAGTGCAGAGGAATTGTAGCTTGATCAGAAGGCTGCTGGGTCTGCACTAGGGTCCGCCTTTAGTTGGTTTGTTATAAGAGGCTTGGGTAGCTGTAACTCCCATTTTATTTTTGGACAAACTGAATATCCTTCAGGACTTCTATATATAAGGCAGACACTAGGGCAGGTTTCTGCAGTCGAGTCTGCTAATGGCAGGGCTTATATCAGGATGTGGATGAGTATGGCTTTCACTGAATACCAGAGAGCATTTCTCTGGGACACTGTGTGGGTTTCTGTGTAGGCAGAACTGGCCATAAACTGTGGCTTAGGGAGCTGGAACTGAGTCATTAAACTGCTTTGGGGACCACAGTAAAGGCCAAGGTCTGCAGGCCTGTCTGCATGTCTATAAATTGATGTCTTCCTCCAGGACTCTGGAAGGGCAGGGCCTCTTTCATACTGTGGCTGGGAGGAGTTTGGGATGACCAAGCTGGGTGGGCCATTTCTTTGGTCTATAGTCAAGAACAGAGTTTCTGTAGATTGCCACCTGAATGAGGGCCTGCCTTCCGAAACGGATACTCCTCAATCTTGGGCTTTAGCAGTTTCACAAGTCCCTCCCTGGATCTCAAAGCTCTTAGAGGCACTTATTTTGGAGATGGGGTCTTGCTTCAGAACCCAGACTAGTCTTGTTTTTTTGTTTTTGAGACGGAGTCTCACTCTGTCACACAGGCTTTAGTGCAGTGGCATGATCTTGGCTCACTCCCATCTCCTCCTGGGTTTAAGTGATTATCGTGCCTCAGCCTCCTAAGTAGCTAAAATTACAGGCACACACCACCACACAGGGCTAATTTTTGTATTTTTAATAGAGACATGGTTTTACCATGTTGGATAAGCTGATCTTGAACTTCTGACGTTAACCTTCCCACCTCAACCTTCCAAAGTGCTGGAATTACAGGCATGAGCCACTGCATTTGTCCTAGGATGCTCTTGAAATCCTGGCCTGAAGCAATTCTCCAACCTCAGTGTACCATGTAGCTGTCATTATAGGGGTGAGCCATGATGCCTGGCTCTCTCATAAGGGCATTTTTGTCAGGATTGGCTGAAAAAATTTTCTTGCTGTTGGGGCATAAGAAAGTAGGGCACCTTTTATTTTTCCATCTTGCTGATGTTACTCTCTATATACATTTTTCTTTCTATTTTCCATTTCAAACTTTTCTGTAATTTTAGATTCAGACATTTAGAACAATATGCTAGAATTTACATGTTATGCCTGAAGTAAATTATACAATTAGTAGGCACTCCATATTTACTAAAATAGTTACTTATAAATTTAAGTTTGCTGCAGGCAAAACGGAATTATAGGATATTCACCCACTTTCTTCAGCCTAAATCTAAATAATAGCATAATTTATTCCCAAATATTTGTTTTATATATCAGAGGCTCTAACCATATTCTGCTATATGTGTGTGTGTGTGTGTGTGTGTGTGTATATATATGTGTGTGTGTGTGTGTGTATTTTATTTAGCAGTTTAAGGCTATTTGCTTCTAAATTTGGATTGCAGCACTTTCATTTTGTGTAAAAATGCATATATTTAAAACAAAATTTATCTCGTTTCTTTTAAATGATTATAAAAAGTTTCTCATTACAATATTCTATTTATGCTTATACTGTATTTTCTCTGAAATTTTACTGCCATACAGTGCCTGCCAATGATTCAAAGTACCTGCTTTCCATGAGTACACTGTCAAATATTGTTGTCTAGACACATTCTTTCTTAATGGTACATCAATATTGCAAACCAGAGTTTAGGAGTAAACATTTATTACTGTCTTGCAGTTCCATATTAGTGTGTTTTAGTGTAGGCTTGTTTTTTGTTTTGTTTTTTGAGACAGTCTTGCTCTGTCACCCAGGCTGGAGTGCAGTGGCATGATCTCAGCTCACTGCAACCTCTGCCTCCTGGTTCAAGTGATTCTTCTGCCTCAGCCTCCCAAGTAGCTGGGACTACAGGCACACACCAGCACGGCTGGCTAATTTTTGTATATTTAGTAGAGATGGGGTTTCACCATATTGGCCAGGCTGGTCTCGGACTCCTGACCTAGTGACCCGCCCACCTCAGCCTCCCAAAGTGCTGAGATTACAGGCCTGAGCCACCACTCCCAGGTAGTGTAGGTTTCTTAACATCAGTTTATTGTGTTTTTTGCTTTTACTTATGCATTATAATTTTAAATAACTTGCAATTCTGTATGTACACGTTAAGTCAATGTGAGGTTTAATTAAGATACAAATCAGCCATATGTCTATAACAATCTGATTATATATGTGTGTGTGCTTATCTATAAATATGACCCCCAGTCTGGAGTGCAATGGCACAATCTCAGCTCACCGCAACCTCTGCCTTCTGGGTTCAAGCGATTCTCTTGCCTCAGCCTCCCAAGTTGCTGGGATTACAGGCATGCACCACCACACCCAGGTAATTTTGTATTTTTAGTAGAGACGGGGTTTCTCCATGTTGGTAAGGCTTGTCTCGAACTCCCGACCTCAGGTGATCCGCCCACCTCAGCCTCCCAAAGTGCTGGGATTACAGATGTGAGCCACTGTGCCTGACCTCTTAGCTGATTTTCAGTGGTTGTTTCATCTTGTTTAAGTGAGTAGTTATGGAGATACTCTTATTTTTACCATGCGTTTAATAATGAATATCTATTTCCTTTATGTGAAAAAAAAAAAAACACTTTGTGATATGAAGGTAATTCCTGAAAGGATTTATAATTCTATATTGTTTTCAGTTTTTTTCTTTAGAAAATTGTTTTTAAAACACATAAAGTTTGTCATCTTAAATCTATTGAAGTGTACATTTTAGGGCCAGGCATGGTTGTGGCTCACATCTGTAATCCCAGAGATTTGGAGAGGCCAAGACAAAGAGGATCACTTGAACCCAAAAGTTTGAGACCACCCTGGGCAACATATGGAGACTCCTTCTCTACAAAAAATTTCTTTAAAATGGCCTGGCATTTTGGTGTGCACTTGTGGTCCAAGATCTTTGGAAGATTGAAGAAAGAGGATTACTTGAGCCTGGGAATTTCAGACTATAGTCAACCATAATTGTGCCACTGCACTCTAGTTTAGGTGACGAAGTGAGACCCTGTCTCCAAAAAAAAAATAGCTTTATATTTCAGGAATGTTAAGTATATTCACATTGTTATGCAAAAGACTTCTAGAAATTTTACGTCTTGTAAAACCAAACTCAATACCCATTAAGTAACAGCAACCCATTTTACCCTCTCTGGTGCTCTTGACAAACACCCTTCCACTTTCTGTTTTTATGAGTGTGACCACTTAAGATATCTCATATAACTGGAATAATATAGTATCTATAATTTTATTACTAGCTTATTTTAAAGGGACATAATATTCTCAAAGGTTATCTTAAATTGTTACAAGATAATCTGTTTTAAGTCTGAAAAAATATTTCATTATATGTATATGTTACATTTTTTGATGTGTTTATAAATCAAGGGACATCTGGGTTGCTTCAGTTTTTTGGCTTATGTGAATACTGGTACAATAAACATGGATGCTCAAATATGTCTCCCAGGTTCTGTGTTGCATAGTTCGGATATACATTCATAAATGTGATTGCTGTACTTAATGATAATTCCAGTTTTAATTATCTGAGGAACATTTATAACATTTTAAAATAATGACTGCATCCTTGTTTTCCACCAGTTAGTATGAGTTTTATTTTCATTGCATCAGCAACAAATTTGGTGGGTTTTTTTATATTTTATAGTGGCCATTCTGATGGGTGTGAAGTGATTTTGTTTTTCATTGTTATTTTTATGCATTTCTCTACAAATTAGTAATTTTGTGTTTCCTTTCTTCCCTCCCCCCACTCTTCCTGCCCCAGGTGGAGTCTTGCTCCAGGCTGGTGTGCAGTAGCATGAACTGAGCTCACTGCAGCCTCTGCCTCTGGGGTTCAAGCAATTCTCCTCAGCCTCCTGAGTAGCTGGGATTACAGGCACATGCCGTCACACCCGGCTAATTTTTATATTTTTAGTAGAGACGGGGTTTCACCGTGTTGGTTATGCTGGTCTTGAACTCCTGACCTCAAGTGATCCACCCGTCTCAGCCTCTCAAAGTGCTGGGATTACAGGCATGAGCCACCGTGCCTGGCCACATTTCCTTTCAAATGCTTTTTCCCATTTGTGTATTCTTTTTGAGAAAAATTTAGTTCAATTATTTGTTCATTTCTAAATAAAATTATTCAACTTTATTGTTAAGTTTTACAAGTTGTTTATACATTCTCAATGTTAACTTCTATGATATGTGATTTGCAAATATTTTTAGCTATTTCCTAGGAGGCATTGTCACTCTATTGAATGTTTTCTTTGATGCGCAGAAACTTTGAAGTGTAATGCAGTTAAATTTTACTGTCTTTTCTTTGTTGCTCATGCGTTTAATGTCGTATCTAGGAAAATAGTGCCAAGACAAATGTCATGTCTTTCCCCCTTCATTTTTATATCTGGGCATTTTATTTAAAAATATTTTTCATATGTGGTTCAAGGATATAATCCATCTTCATCTTATCCATGTTGATATCCAGTTTTCAACATTATGTCTTGAAGAGGTTATCTTTTTTTCTATTGTGTGCTCATGGCAACTTTACAAGATCATTTGATCATATACAGATTTCTGTGCTCTCTACTCTGTTCTTTGTTTATCTGTTTTTGTGTCAGTACCACATTGCTTTTGTTATTGTAGCTTTTATATTATTATTATTAATTTTTTTTTTTTCCTGAGACAGAGTCTCTCACTGTTTCCCAGGCTGGAGTGCAATGGCATAATCTCGGCTCACTGCAACCTCTGCCTTTCAGGTTCAGGAGTAGCTGGGATTACAGGCACCCACCTCCACACCTGGCTAATTTTTTGTATTCTTGGTAGAGACGGGGTTTCAGTATGTTGGCCAGACTGGTCTTGAACTCCTGACCTCATGATCCACCTGCCTTGGCCTCCCAAAGTGCTGGGATTACAGACGTGAGCCACCTTGCTGGCCTATTATGTTTTTAAATCAGGAAGTATAATGCCTCTGTTCTTTTTCATGGGTGTTTGGCTATAGTTTATAATCAAATTTTAAACAATATTTCTGTAAAAATATGTGGTATTGGGATTTCTAGTTAGATTATATTGAATTTGTTTGCCACTGTAGTTTGTATTGACATCTTTGAAAAATTAATTTTTTTGAAACTTGGGCAAGAATATGTTGAAGGGTGTGTTTTATTTTTACGTAATTTTGGATTTTCCAGTTTTGCTTTTAATTCCTAGTTGCATTCAGTTTTGGTCAGAAAACACACAGTGTATAATTTTTGTCTGCTTAAATTTATTTGTTGTTGTTGTCATTGTTATTTTGACGCAGAATCTTACTCTGTCACCCAGTCTGGAATGCAGTAGCAAGATTTTGGCCCACTGCAGCCTCAACCTTCTGGGGTCAAGTGATTGTTCCACCTCAGCCTCCCGAGTAGCTTGGACTACAGACATGCAGTACTATGCCTGGCTAATTTTTTGATTATTTGTAGAGACAGAGTCTCACTTTGTTGCCCAGTCTAGTCTCAAACTTCTGGCTCCAAATGATCCTCCTACCTTGGTCTCCCAAAGTGTTGGGATTATAGGTATGAGCCTGTTCACCCAGCCAGTATTCTTAAATTTAATAAGATTTGTTATGTGTCCTAACAGAATACACAAGGTGCAAATAAGAATGTTGTGTATTCTCTTGCTTTTGACTGAAAAGTTTTGTACATGTCTGTTAATCCTAGTTGGTCTGTGATGTGGTTTAGATGTTCGTGTTCTTCAAATCTTATGCTGCAATGTAATCCTCACTGTTGGATGTGGAACCTGGTGGGAGATGTTTAGATCATGGGGCAAATTTCTCATGAATGGCTTTGTACTATCCTCTTGGTAATCAAAAAGTTTACACTCTGTTAATTCAGATGAGAGCTGCCTCATTAAAAGAACCTGGCCCCTTCACCTCACATTTGGTTCTGTCTTTTACTATGTGATATGTCCAGTTACTGTTGGCCTTCCACCATTGTGGAAGCTTACTGAAACCTTCCACCAGAGGCAGATGCCGGCACACACTTCTTGTACAGTCTGCCCAACGATGAACCAAACAAGCCTTTTTATTTATAAATTATCCACTCTCAGGTATTCCTCTATGTGCAAAATAATATATTCTGTAACGTTGTCTAAGTTTTCTGTTTTCTTATTGATCTTTTGTCTGAATTTTCTATTTATTATTAAAAATGGGGTCTTGATGTCTACAATTATTATGTTGCTATGTATTTCTTGTTTCACTTTTGTCAATATTTGCTTTACGTATTTTGGAGCCCTAATGTTGTATATACATATACACATAAATAAATAGGCATAATAGTTTTAGATTCCTGGTAAATTGATCCATTTTACTATTGTATAATATCAGTCTTTGTCTCATGCTAGTACTTGACTTAAAGCATATAATGTCTAATATAATTATGAGTGTCTTACTCAATTGTGGTTATATTTGCATGTAATAAAAAGTTTTTCCATTCTGTTACTTTCAGCTTATTTGACTCTATATTTTCCAGTTTGTTATTGGTATTAAATATTATTTTATGTTGTGTATCTATTAACAGATTTATATTTTGTTTTTCATATTCTATAGAGGAAATTTAAGAGTTTTATGCACCATTATTTTGATAATAAATAATTTTATGTGTTGATATATTTAATAGTTTTTTATTTATATATGTTTTTATGATGCTGTTCAGCATCATTTTATTTTTTAACATAATGGACTCATTTAGCCTTTCTTTTTTATTTTGTATGCAGTGTCTCACTATGTTGCTCAGGCTGATCTTCAACTCCTAGTCTCAAGTAAGCTGACTGCCTTGGCCTCTTAAAACTGTAGGATTTACAGGCATGAGCCACTGCCTGGCAACCATGTAGCAGTTTTTGTAGGACTGTGGTAGGGGTGATGAATACCCTCACCTTTTATTTTGAAAAGTCTTTATTTTTATCTTGTTTTTGAAGTAAAGTAATTATAATTAGTAGTATAATTATTATATATTTTTATATACTTATATATTATATTAATATATAATTATAAACATATTTTCAAGTAGTATTGGTTAAGAATTTTTTATTACATCATAATTTGGAAAGTTCTCAGCTTTTTTAAATCTTCAAGTAACCTCTGTATTACTTTTTTGCTATATTATTCTATGATTTTTTTTCATGAATATATTGTTCTACTTGATGGTGTCCAATAAGTTTTACATTTCATGTTTTAATTTTGTTTTGCACTTTTATATTTTTGCGTTTTATATTTAAGGGTATTCCAGCTCACATTAGTTAATTGTGTTTGGATGTTTTAGTTTATATTATAATTGTGTATGAAAATATTTAACTCTGCAATTTATGACAGTGTGAAGCAAAATCAAATATGAATCAGCCATATGTCTATTGCTAATGTGTTTATGTTTGCTTGCCTGTATAAATATTATTTCTATTTTCCTATAACTTGTGTATTTATTGTGTAGTTTGGTTGTGAATGGTTGTTTAATCCTGTGTAGGTGAGTAGTCATAAAAATTCTTCTACTTTTATCATCTTATTTGTGAATCTATATTATTTCTGTGTGGGAGAAACACTTTTGAATTTTAAGATAATATAAAAACTATCATTACTCTGTATCTTAGGTATTTCTGTTTATTTTTACTTATCAAAAACATAAAATTTATAATAAAATATTTGTAAATATTCAATTTAGTGATCTTAATTATATTGACATTGTTTTGCAACATATCACCAAAATGTTTTTATCTTGCAAAGCTGAATCTGAATACACATTAAACAACTACCAATTTTTTCCATTTTGTAGCACTTTCCAAACACCACTCTGTTTTCCTTGTCTAAGGTTGTAACTGCTTTAAATATCCTATACAATCTCTGTCTTTCTGTGGCTGGCTCATTTTATTTGGCATAATGTCATCAAAACTTATATTTACAGTTGTCAGAATATTTCCTGCTTTTTGAAAACTGAGGGATATTCCAGTATTTTGTTTTCTGTTTTTTTGAGGTGAAGTTTCACGCTGTCGCCCAGGCTGGAGTACAGAGTGCAATGGCGCGATCTCGGCTCACTGCAGCCTCCGCCTCCTGGGTTCAAGCAATTCTCCTGCCTCAGCCTCTCAAGTAGCTGAGATTACAGGCATGCGCCACCATGCCCGGCTCATTTTTGTATTTTTAGTGGAGGTGGGGTTTCACCATGTTGGACACGCTGGTCTCGAACTCCTGACCTCATGTGATCCACCCGCCTTGGCCTTCCAAAGTGCTGGGATTACAGGTTTGAGCCACCGCACCCAGCCTATTCCAGTAATTTTATATTTCAAATTAAATCTGCTGGATGGTTTAATGACAGAAATTTGCATTGCTTTCACCCATTGGCTTTCAGTAACAATGCTGCAATAATTATGGGTAAGTAAATGACTCTTTATATGACATGTACATTACGTATGTACTGCATTCTCTTATTAGTCTATGTTTTCAGCTTTATACTTATACCAAGTTGTTTTAATTTTGTAGCTTTGTACTGTGTTTGAAATCAGGAAGTGTAATGCCTCAAACGTTTTTTTTTTTTGAAGATTGTTGGGTACTTTATTGTCTTTTGAGATTCCATATACTTCTGAGGTTGCTGTTTCTATTTCTTCAAAAATGCAATGAGAAGTTTTAAAAACATTGCCTTAAATGTGTAGATTACATTGAGCAGTATGAACATCTTTACAGCATTAATTATACCCTGATTCCATTTTTATCTTAAAGAGTAATTTATAAAATTTTAGTTCTAAAAAATTTGTTAAGACTTCTTTTTTTGTCCTAACAGGTTGTCTATCAAAAAGAATGTCGTATGAGCTATTGAGAAAGGTGTATATCCTGATGTTACTGAGGAGTGTTCTCTATGCCTCTGTTAGAAGTAATTGTTTTATATTGCCTTAAAGTTACCTGTTGCCTTCTAATATTCTTTTTTTTTATTATTATAGAAAGTAGGTATTGAAATATCCTACTATAAAAATTATATTGCACTCTATGTGTTTCATCGATTCTGTCAATATTTGTTTTATATATTTGGAACCTTAATGTGAGATATACACATGCACACACACACACACACACACACCCCACAAATGTATATAGAAATTTTTCAGAGGTTCTCAGTGAGTGAATCTATTATTGTTTAATGTCCTTCTTTGTCTCTTTGGAGTTTTGACTTTAAAGTACATTTTATAAAATATGACAGTTTTAACTTAAGATGTGTTGTGTAATATTACTTAGACCTCTTCTGCTCTCATTTGGTTAAAATTTGCATGGAATGTCTACTTCCATCTTGCCACTTTCAGTCTTTCTTTATCATTAGATCGCAACTGACTCTTGTAGAAAGGCAAGTTGAATCCTGGTTTTTAATTTTTTTAATAAATCCCTTTATTGAAAGTATGTCTTTTAATTAAAAAGTTAACTTTATGTATATTTAATTTTCTGAAACAGACTTACAAATGTTATTTTATTGTTTTAGTTGATTCTTGTTTCTTTGTTCCCAATTTTCTCTCTCTCTTTCTTTGTGTCATTTTTATTTTTGTACTAATATGCTTTCACTTTTTAAAATTTTCTTTTATATCTCTATACAGATTTTTTTGTGGTACCTTGGGGTTTACATAAAATCTCTAAAAGATGCAACAGTATATTTAATTATGGTAAAAAATGAACTTTAGTTGTATACAAAAAATCTTTCTCATTATATCTGCCCTCAACTTTCTTATTGATGTTGCTAATTATATCTTTATGTTGTAAGTACATTAATGAGTGTTTATAATAATTAGTGTTTTTATTTTTCAACTTTTAGAGAATAACTAAAAATGTTTTCTGCACCATTATGATAATGCTAAGGAATTCTAATTTTGGATATGTGCATATCTTTCCCAGAAAGTTATGCATTTTTATGTAATAATATGTTGTTTTCTTACATTATGTTATTTTTAGCATCTTTGATATGTAGGGCATATGCAGTGCCAATACACTTTTTTTTTTTTTTTTTTTTTTTTTTTTTACTAATTTCAGGACTATTACAATATCACATAGTTCCCTTCTCGCTTGCAAAATTTTCATGACAAATTTACTAGTAATCTCATAAGACTATGCTTATAAATGACACATCACTTTTATCTTGCATCTTTGAGGATTTTCTACTTTGTGACTTGAAATTGCACTCATGCATGTGTTTGTTATAAATATCTTTGTGTGTATTCTAGTTTGTTGAGCTTCTTCATTTTTACATCATTTTTTCTTATATTAAAATTTTTTTGTATTTTTCACCTCCACAATTTCTGTTTTTTGATATTTTTAATATTTTTGTTGTTATCCTCATTCTTCTAATTTTCAATTGTTGTCTGTGTTTCTATTTTCCTCACTGAATATTATTCAAGTTTTTCAAACTAATTTGTATATCTTTATTTTTAATGATAGCTTTCTGAAATTTTTATGTTTCTGATGGGGCTATGTTGCCCCAATATTTTTATATGTTGTAATCTTTCATTGAAATTTAGACATTAAAAACAAACCACCTGTAACAATCTTTATAATATAGCTTTGTCTTGGCATATCTGAAACCAATTGTCTTGGATAGAGATTCTGAGAGTTTCTCTAACATGTTCTTAGGATGTGTCTTGTCTGAAATGTTTTAGGTCTTTTTTAGTTAAAGGAGTTTGTTCATGTTTCTTCTTAATAGTCAGTAATCATTTGCTACAACTATTTCCTGCCTATAATATTGCAGTCTCTTTGCTGCTGTAGCATTTACCTTTGATCTCAGCAGACTCAAACTGCCATTCCAATGTATACCATTTATTTCAAGACAGAAACCAGTGTCTGGAAAAGTCCCTAGAAACCAGAAATAAAAATGTTTTTTGCCGCTATTTTTCTTGTCTTTTATAAAAGAAACCAAGAGTTGCCAATTTACTTCTAAAGCCACTGTGTTACATTGGGCAACCGAAATAGCTGTGTTGTAAATGTAACAAACTTTTTTTTTCCTATGTGGCTCTTTGCATTATGCTCACCTGGGGCACTGCACACACTTAACTCATTTATAAATTTTCCACAAATGTATTTTGGTCAGTATGTTTTTGTTACATTTAAATGTCTATGAAGGATTTAGGGCCTATGGTATTTTGCTGTGCCATCTTACTTAATGTAGTTTGTTTAATTTTATATATTACATTTGTAAACTATCTTCATCTAAGTCTAGCAAGTGGAGTAATTTGTCATTTTTGTTTCTTTCAGTTATGTGTTCTCATTTTGCCCAAGACCTTTGGCCGGAGCAGAATATAAAAGATTCTTTCCAAAAAGTGACACTGAAAAGATATGGAAAATGTAGACATGAAAATTTACCATTAAGAAAAGGCTGTGAAAGTATGGATGAGTGTAAGATGCACAAAGGAGGTTGTAATGGACTTAACCAATGTCTCACAGCTACCCAGAGCAAAATATTTCAATGTGATAAATATGTAAAAGTCGCTCATAAATTTTCAAATTCAAACAGACATGAGATAAGACATACTAAAAAGAAACCTTTCAAATGTACAAAATGTGGCAAATCATTTGGCATGATTTCATGCCTAACTGAACATAGCAGAATTCATACTAGAGTAAATTTCTACAAATGTGAAGAATGTGGAAAAGCCTTTAACTGGTCCTCAACCCTTACTAAACATAAGAGAATTCATACGGGAGAGAAACCTTACAAATGTGAAGAATGTGGTAAAGCCTTTAACCAGTCCTCAAACCTTATTAAACATAAGAAAATTCATACTGGAGAGAAACCCTACAAATGTGAAGAATGTGGCAAAACTTTTAACCGATTCTCAACTCTTACTACCCATAAGATAATTCATACTGGAGAGAAACCCTACAAATGTAAAGAATGTGGTAAAGCTTTTAACCGATCTTCAACCCTTACTACCCATAGAAAAATTCATACTGGAGAGAAACCTTACAAATGTGAAGAATGTGGCAAAGCCTTTAAGCAGTCCTCAAACCTTACTACACATAAGATAATTCATACTGGAGAGAAACCCTACAAATGTAAAAAATGTGGAAAAGCCTTTAACCAGTCTGCACACCTTACCACACATGAGGTAATTCATACTGGAGAGAAACCCTACAAATGTGAAAAATGTGGAAAAGCCTTTAATCATTTCTCACACCTTACTACACATAAGATAATTCATACTGGAGAGAAACCTTACAAATGTAAAGAATGTGGTAAAGCTTTTAAACACTCTTCAACCCTTACTAAACATAAGATAATTCATACTGGAGAGAAGCCTTACAAATGTAAAGAATGTGAAAAAGCTTTTAACCAATCCTCAAAACTTACTGAACATAAGAAAATTCATACTGGAGAGAAACCCTATGAATGTGAAAAATGTGGCAAAGCTTTTAACCAGTCCTCAAATCTTACTAGACATAAGAAAAGTCATACAGAAGAGAAACCTTACAAATGTGAAGAATGTGGCAAAGGTTTTAAATGGCCCTCAACCCTTACTATCCATAAGATAATTCATACTGGAGAGAAACCATACAAATGTGAAGAATGTGGCAAAGCTTTTAACCAATCCTCAAAACTTACCAAACATAAGAAAATTCATACTGGAGAGAAACCCTACACATGTGAAGAATGTGGCAAAGCCTTTAACCAGTCCTCAAACCTTACTAAACATAAGAGAATTCATACTGGAGAAAAACCTTACAAATGTGAAGAATGTGACAAAGCTTTTAAATGGTCCTCAGTCCTTACTAAACATAAGATAATTCATACCGGAGAAAAATTACAAATATGAAAATTATGGCAAAGCTTTAATCAATTTACAAGTCTTACTAAACATAAGAAAATTTATACTGGAGAGAAACTACTAACCTGAAAGATGTGACAATAATTTTGACAACACCTCAGACTTATAAAAGTAATCATACTGGTGAGAAATTCTAAAAATGTGAAGACTATGGCAAAGTCTTTAAATGGTTGTCACACTTTAGGTAAGATAATTCATATTGGAACAAACTACAAGTGCAAACAATGTGGCAAAACTTAATTTATGCTCACACCTTACTGCACAGAAAAGAATTTTTAGTTGAGAAAAAGTATACAAATATAAAGAATGTGGAAAAGCCGTTAATATCTGCTCACATCTTACTCAGCATCAGAAAGTACTTAATAAAAGCATTATAAATGGAATTACTGTCAAAAGCATTCAGAAAATATAAGCCTTTAATGTGAAAAAGAGTAACCATTTTGAAGACAAACATTGCAAATTTAAAGAGGGTTGTAGTACCTTTAATTGTATCACAAATCTTATTGTACAGATTTTGTACTAGAGGAAACCCCTGAAGCAGTTGCTTAAATTTTGTTTAAAATCAGATTTTTTTTTTTTTCTTTTTGAGACGGAGTTTCGCTCTTGTTACCGAGGCTGGAGTGCAATGGCGCATTCTCGGCTCGCCACAACCTCTGCCTCCCGGGTTCAACCGATTTTCTTGCTTCAGCCTCCTGAGTAACTGGGATTACAGGCATGTGCCACCACGCCTGGATAATTTTGTATTTTTGGAAGAGACAGGGTTTCTCCATGTTGTTCAGGCTGGTCTCAAACTCCTGACCTCAGGTGATCCACCTGCCTCAGCCTGCCAAAGTGCTGGGATTAGAGGCATGAGCCACCACACCTGGCCAACATCAGAGGATTTATATTTGAGAAAAACCCTGCAAATGTAACAAATTTTGAAAAACTTTTTCAAAAACTACAGCTTAAAAAGCAGCAGAGGATTCATACTAAAATATATTTTTGCAGATGCAGTAGATATAAAAATATATTTAATCCAAAGTTAAGTTTATGTAAATATCAGAGGATTCACAGTAGAAATATCTAAGGTGCTGGCACTTCAGACACCACACTAAATCAGAGTGCTGAGTATAGAAAATAATCCAAAACTAAATTTGGTGGATTAATTATTTGTATATAACTTTAAAAGAAGTAGAACTTTTTTTGCAGAGTTTTAATTACATTCAAAGTATACTTTTTTCCTTAAAAAAGTTAGGTTTTTTTGAAAAGAAAATAATCATGTCATTCAACTTTCAAATTACTTCATGCTCTTTCTTCTTCATTGCTATTATATTCACATGTGAAAGCATGTGATCAGTGGTTGCTACATCAAAGATAGGAGATTTTTTTTTCTTAGGTCATTATTTATGACCTTTTCTATTAAAGAATAAGAACATTAGGCTGGGCGCAGGGCTCATACGTATAATCCCAGCACTTTGGGAAGCTGAGACAGGCAGATCATGAGGTCAGGAGTTTGAGACCAGCCTGGCCAATATGGTGAAACCCCATCTATTAAAAACTACAAAAATTAGCTGTCCACTGTGGCACGCACCTGTAACCCCAGCTACTCGGGAAGCTGAGGCAGGAGAATCACTTGAACCCAAAAGGCAGAGGTTGCAGTGAGCCGAGGTCGCACCACTCCACACTAGCCTGGGCAACAGAGCAGGACTCTATCTCAAAAAAAAAAAAGTATACTATTCTTTTTTTTTCTTTATTTATTTTATTTTTTATTTTTTTATTGATCATTCTTGGGTGTTTCTCGCAGAGGGGGATTTGGCAGGGTCATAGGACAATAGTGGAGGGAAGGTCAGCAGATAAACAAGTGAACAAAGGTCTCTGGTTTTCCTAGGCAGAGGACCCTGCGGCCTTCCGCAGTGTTTGTGTCCCTGGGTACTTGAGATTAGGGAGTGGTGATGACTCTTAACGAGCATGCTGCCTTCAAGCATCTGTTTAACAAAGCACATCTTGCACCGCCCTTAATCCATTTAACCCTGAGTGGACACAGCACATGTTTCAGAGAGCACAGGGTTGGGGGTAAGGTCATAGATCAACAGCATCCCAAGGCAGAAGAATTTTTCTTAGTACAGAACAAAATGAAGTCTCCCATGTCTACTTCTTTCTACATAGACACAGCAACAATCTGATTTCTCTATCTTTTCCCCACCTTTCCCCCTTTTCTATTCGACAAAACCGCCATCGTCATCATGGCCCGTTCTCAATGAGCTGTTGCGTACACCTCCCAGACAGGGTGGCGGCCGGGCAGAGGGGCTCCTCACTTCCCAGAAGGGGCGGCTGGGCAGAGGCGCCCCCCCACCCAACTTCCTGGACGGGGCGGCGGCCAGGCGGAGGCGGGCCCCCCACCTCCCTCCCGGACGGGGCGGCTGCCGGGCGGAGACACTCCTCACTTCCCAGACGGGGTGGCTGCCGGGCGGAGGGGCTCCTCACTTCTCAGACGGGGCGGCCGGGCAGAGACGCTCCTCACCTCCCAGACGGGGCCGCGGCCGGGCAGAGGCACTCCCTGCATCTCCGACGATGGGCGGCCGGGCAGAGACGCTCCTCACTTCCTAGACGGGATGGCGGCTGGGAAGAGGCGCTCCTCACTTCCCAGACTGGGCAGCTGAGCAGAGGGGCTCCTTACATCCCAGACGATGGGCGGCCAGGCAGAGCCGCGCCTCACTTCCCAGACGGGGTGGCAGCCAGGCAGAGGCTGCAATCTCGGCACTTTGGGAGGCCAAGGCAGGCGGCTGGGAGGTGGAGGTTGTAGCGAGCCGAGATCACGCCACTGCACTCCAGCCTGGGCAACATTGAGCACTGAGTGAACGAGACTCCGTCTGCAATCCTGGCACCTTGGGAGGCCGAGGCTGGCGGATCACTCGCGGTTAGGAGCTGGAGACCAGCCCAGCCAACACAGCGAAACCCCGTCTCCACCAAAAAAATACGAAAACCAGTCAGGCGTGGCAGCGCACGCCTTCAGTCGCAGGCACTCGGCAGGCTGAGGCAGGAGAATCAGGCAAGGAGGTTGCAGTGAGCCGAGATGGCAGCAGTACAGTCCAGCTTCGGCTCGGCATCAGAGGGAGACCGTGGAAAGAGAGGGAGAGGGAGACCGTGGGGAGAGGGAGAGGGAGAGGGAGAAGGAGAAGTACACTATTACGTATGCTCCAGCCTGGGTGACAGGGCGAGACTCCATCTCAAAAACAAAAAAGGAGCGCACCAGCATGGCACATGTATACATATGTAACTAACCTGCACAATGTGCACATGTACCCTAAAACTTAAAGTATAATAAAAAAAAAGAAAAAAATAACCATTGTACCACCAAAAAAAAAAAAAAGAATAAGAACATTAAAACGTAAGATGCATGATGAAAATCTAAGTGGTGGGGCTCTTTGTGGTTAACATAATATTGAGTGATATATGAGGTGGTTGTTTAGAGTAATATTCTTCTGCATTATAGTAAATGAAAAACATTTTTAATATTAGTTAAAATTAGTAATATATTATTTTACTAATTATATTTCTATGTAATAAAATGCAGTACGTTTTTAAATTTTCAGACTACATGTAAACTTAGTTTTATAATTAAACTTTTTTAAACATATTATGATCATTGTGCATTCAACGATGCGTTGTGATGCCACTAAGTTTAACCTATCTACCGTACTCAAGAATGTAGTTAAAAGATGGTTACAGTGTGCAGGTTGGTAACATAATGAACTAACATCTCTTTTGCCAGTGGCTTTAAACTGCAAATAGGTTAAAGAATATTGTTCTTGTAGGTTAAATTTTTATTCTTTTTTTCTTATATGAACTTATTTTTAAAAATTTTTGTGAGTACATAGTATGTGTATATATTTATACCATATATAGAATATTTTGATACAGGCATATAATATGTAACAATCACATCAGGGTAAGTGAAGTATCCATCACCTCCAGCATTACCCTTTGTATTACAAACCTATTCTACACATTTAGTTCTTTTGAAATGTGCAATTGTTATTGGTTACAGTAACCAATTTGCATGGAATGTCTATTTCCATCTGGCCACTTTGGCAAGTGGCAAGATTTTGGTCATGATTTTGTTTTATGGTCATAATAAGAATTGTATAGAAGTATTAATAAAATCCATACATTTCTGAATTCTGAATAAACATTTAAAAATTTGTTAATATTTTTCTTTAAACATGTGGTCTTACTGCCTGCAAACACATACAGACTCTTAATTTTTATTTACATAGATGTAAATATACACATATATTACTCTAAAGATAAACCTTAAGGGTAAGAAAATTATAAAGTATGTGTGTTTTTGTGAATATGAATTTGTACCTATATTCAGAAGAAAAGAGCAATATTGGCACAAAACAAATCATCTTAATAAGGTAACTAATTGGCTGTGTGCAGTGGCTCACGCCTGTAATCGCATCACTTTGGGAGGCTGAGGCGGGTGGATCACCTGAGGTCAGGAGTTCGAGACCAGCCTGACCAATATGGTGAAACCCCATCTCTACTAAAAATACAAAAATTACCTGGGTGTGGTGGTGTGCACCTCTAGTCCCAGTTACTCAGGAGACTGAGACAAGAGAATTGCTTGAACCCAGGATTTGGAGGTTGCAGTGAACTGAGATTATGCCACTGCACTCCAGCCTGGGTGAAAGAGTAAGACTCATCTCAAAAAAATAATAAGGTAACTAGTTTACTAGAAAACTGAATACCTCAAAAATGCTGAAAACAAATGTATACTGTCTGCTTTGTGTTAAATTTATTACTGTAATATCTTATGGTTTATAGTTCAGAATCTTCCCATGCAAATATTTTGTTTTGACTTGCCTGATACTCATGCTGGACCTATAATTTTCTTTTTTTTATAATTTTTTTTATAGTTTCTGAGGCATTATGTGAGCTTGTCAGGGATTATAATGCTTTTATAAAATTTAGTAGTGCACACAAAATAATATTTATATGTAATTCCAAAATTAGTCTATCAAGTTATATTTTATTTTCTTAGAACATTTCATTTGTTCTTTTAATTGGAGAACTCTTTAAACCTGCTTTAGTTGTTGTTCTTTTCACTTTTTATAATTGAAATAACTATATTTATTTATTGAGCCAATTTTTTTTTCAGGTAAATACTAAGGATGCTTTATAAGTCATGAGGATGTTTTTATATATAAATATAGCAAACAAACATGAGAGTGCTTGCTGTGTAACAAATGCTGCATAACAAGCTATAAATATTCCTGCTGAAGTTAGTTTGTAACTTCAAGTCAGAGATGGAAAATATCAATGGTGAAAAAATAATATTGATTTTTCATGTTAAAAAGACACTTTTTCCAGGCTACAAAACTAACTCTTGCTGAATTTGAAGAGAAATTCTTCTTCCTTTATTTTCTAAGTATCTTTTGTTTTATTATGTGTATTCCAGCTATGTATGCATCACAGCCCTTCTCCTTCTTTTTCAGTATTATATCTATGGTTTTCTCATTGTTGTCTTTATGCCATGTCATTTTACATGGTACTTTGTAGGTTTTGATGAGAAAGTTGGTATTTTTTTAATGTACTAAAAAATTAGTTTTAACTGGAGAGTTTGTCAATACAACTTTCAGATCAGTTAATTAAGATAAAAGGCATTCAGTATCCACAGGTGAGAGGAATAAGTCAGTTAGTTTTCTTTTTTTCTGCTTGTAAAAGAAAAAAAATCTTACACAAAGTGTGGCAAATATTTGCTAAAAAATATATCTCAGAAATTAAATTTTTAAGAAAGCTAATGGTGAGTGAAATTTTTTAAATTTAATTTTCTATGATATAGCACAACTTAACGTTTCCGTGCAGAATCTTCTATTTTTAAGTGTGAATGTTAAAGTTTGTAAAATAATAAAATGACCTCTGTGGATTTAAAATTTGGAATAATATTTCTTTTTTATATTGATATTACAATTTGAAAAAATCTCTCAGTCTTATATAATTTTTTTAGTGGGTGAAGTTCAGTCTAGAGTTTCTATTCTTTGTCACATAACTGTAGCCAACTTATTGATCATTTTCTCTGTAAAACTTGGAGATCATGACAGCTTTTGGATTGAAACATATCCTATTAGTTTGCTCACAAACTTGTTTACTGTGTTCGAAGAGTGGCCAGTCATGAGACCAAAGCAACAACTGCCCTTTTAGTGTCTTTTATGCAGTTATTATCTGTAATAAATAAATATTTATTCTGTAAAACATGAATTTTGAAGTGTGTATACATTGTCAAATGTTTAATTCTAGGTAATTAATGCTTTACCTCACATAGTTAACATTTTTTGTGGTGAGAGCACGTGACATAGTCTTAGCACTTTTCAAAAATACAAATACATTATTAGGAACTATAGCCACCATGCTGTAGAAAAAATCTT